>NC_000006.12:161585941-161737456 GCF_000001405.40 Homo sapiens | reverse complement strand
TAAAGCTGCTTTAAAGTCTTATATATCCTTAGATAGTTTTCAGATTGTTCTCCCCTCTCCATCCCTGCCTCTGCTCTTCATTCATGTTCTGTCCCTCATGTGAACCTCAGCCTTCGCAAGGGCGCCCGCTGTCCTCATCGCTCCATCCTAATTCCCTCTTAAGGGACATTGTTCTGGTCAAGCAGTCCCCTGATTTAGTTCATTCCCCTTTAAGTGGATTCCCCTTGCCTTCCTGGTGAAGGCCAGATGACTTCACCAGGTGTGCCTGGACCTCGCCGTCAGCCCCTCCTCTTCCTGTGCACCTGCACTCGGGCCTTTGTCTCCCATTTCCAGTATGCTCTTGCAGAATTGACACATCCCATTGCCTGATTGCACCATGCCCTCTCTCATCTCTGCATCTCTTTCTTCTGCCTGTGAATGCCTCCGCCTCCCCTTCACTGTACTCCTTCCTGCATGAGCAGAACGCTGAGCTATGCTTGGTCAGACTGTGAGCTCCGACTCACACAAACCAGAGACTTTACACAGTGTTGAGCTTCACTAAACCATGTCAGAGACTCAGGCCATTGAAGCCTCAGACAAAACACAAATTTGGAGCTGTGAGAACAGGACCTTTCTTCCCACTTTGGGCTTACCCTTCTGACCCAGAATAGATGAGGTCTTGGGGTTTCTCAGACAGCAGGGAACATTCAAAATATAAAACATTTCTAATTTGTACCCCCAGAAAGTTGTATATCTTACATGACATTCTCTGGGAAGTCATGTCTTAGGAATCTTGGGTTCTGTTTACTAACAGATTATTCCTAGCTGGATGTCCTGCTAAGGACTTCAGAGACAAGGCTTCTTCCTTCCAACAATCCTGGTTGACAAGGAGATTAGACCAGGTCTCAGCCTCCTTTTCTTTGCCCTGGGGATGGCCCCCGGTAAGGGGAGGGAGTGAATGGCAGGCTGGTTGCAACTCCCTCTTCTCAGACATGTGTTGTCACAGTGTTTATCCAGGGCTTCCACAACCGATTAGCCACTGAACAACTGCAGTCCTAAGTATGTGTTCTACATGTATGATCTCTTCTCACCTTTACTGCTGCTCAGAAAGGTAGATATGATTTTCTACATTTTACAGACAATTAAAGGAGTACAGAGAGGTTACATAATTTGCCAAGAGTATAAACAGCTGCAAGCAGGACAGGGAGGATCTCCACAGAAGTCTGTGTTATTCAAAAGCCCTTTCTCTTTGATAATTCATGTGAACATCAGCCTTGCCATGAGATTTTGAGTTCTTTGACAGGTGGTGTTTTGTACGTCCCTTACACATTGTACAGGCTTAGACTTCAGTGAACAGCAAATGAATGAATGGATGAATGAGTGAAAGAATGAATGAACAGAGACATTTGTTTTCTTCCCGTGATTCCAGGGAAGGATGTGCTGTGTTATACATAGCAGGTAACAGGTATTGATTGGGACTTATTTTCTGTAAAAGGAAGAATTTTTTAAGAAGAAGGATGCAAAATAGATTTTTATAGTCTCACTTTTTTTTTTGTTTTTTCTGAGACAGAGTCTCGCTCTGTTGCCCAGGCTGGAGTACAATGGAGCAATCTCGGCTCACCACAACCTCTGCCTCCCGGGTTCAAGCAATTCTCCTGCCTCAGCCTCCCGAGTAGCTGGGACTACAGGCGCCCTCCATCACACCCAGCTAATTTTTGTATTTTTAGTAGAGATGGAGTTTCACCATGTTGGCCAGACTGGTCTCGAATTCCTGACCTCGTGATCCACCCTCCTCAGTCTCCCGAGGTGCTGGGATTACAGGCGTGAGCCACCATGCCTGGCCTTACAGTCTCACTTTTAAAAATACAGTTGATCCTTGAGCAACACAGGCGTTAGGTGTTCTGAGCCCCTGCACAGTTGCAAATCTGTGTACAACTTTTGACTCTCCAAAAAACTTAACAACTAATAGTTGATTCTTCATTGAAAACCTTACTGATGACGAAAATAGTCGACTAACACCTATTGTGGATGCTATTTGTATTATATAAATATCCTCAAGTAAGCTAGAGAAAGGAAAATGTTAAGAAAATCATAGGGAAGAGAAAATATATTTACTCTTCATTAAGTGGAAGTGGATCATCATAAAGGTCTTCATCCTTATCGTCTTTATGTTGGGTAGGCTGAGGAGGAAGAAGGGGAGAGGTTAGTCTTGCTGTCTCAGGGGTGGCAGAGGTGGAAGAAAATCCACATGAGGGGGACTTGTGTGTACAGCTCAAACTTGTGTCATCCAAGGGTCAACTGTACCCTTCACCATGTTGGCCAGACTGGTCTCAAACTCTTGACCTTGTGATCCACCCTCCTCAGCCTCTCTCTACAAGGGGAACAGAGGCTGGAGAAGACACCTAACAGGAAGGCAGCAACTAACACTGGAGGGGGCATGTGCTTTTTTTTTTTTTTTTGCTTGTTTATAATCCCTAAAATTCTCTTGTGTTGGAAAAAGAAAATATTTTTCTAAGGAAATTGTGTTTGTAAGCATGTGTTTAATTAAAAGGAAATTATTAGTGGTGATATCCACATTCAGACTATTAATATTTATTTCTGTTAGGTGCGTCATCATTGTGATATAGGCAAATGGGAAAGGGACACATGAAACTTGGTAAAACTATGAAAAATATTCAGTTCAGTACAGAGTGTACATACCTTATTCACTCAGGTCCCACTCAATAGCATTGGCTTGGAAGATTTATTCAATTCACTGGAATTTGTAAAACATCAAGTGAAAAAAGCAACTGTTTTAAATTTTAGCATTAAAAACTCACCTATGCCAAGAAATTTCCTCTAAATGTTTAGGGAAATTAGTCACTGTATTCATTTTCTATTGCCGCAGCTCAACAAATTACCACACACTTAACACAAATGTATTACCCCTCAGTTTCCACAAGTCCAGGCCTGAGTACCAAGGTCCTCTGCTGATCAGAGAGGGTCTTGACCATCACAAGACTTTGCGATCTGCCTTTCATAATCCTGTACAGGTGGCTCCACACAATACTAATCTCAGTATGAAAACAGAAATTCTCACTGTGTTTGATGAACATATTGAATGAACGTATTTTGGGATGGAGATATTACAGCTAGGGAAGATGTCAGCCTAATTCGCAGGCCTGGAGTGAAAGCATTCATTGTATGGAATACCGTGGGTTGAAACATGATTTTTGGTTATCTTATGACTTTGTATGGGCTGGAAAATGTTAGCAATGTAAGCTGCAGTTCATTTTCAGTTGCTTTAAAATTTGCAGGAAAACCGAGGTACAGTACTTTATAAATTAACAAACATGGCTTGCACATGTCTTCACATCTGTGTGTTCACTGGCTGGAAGGATGATGTAAAACCACATCCAGATGAACTTTAGGGAAACTTTCCTTATGATACACTTCTTTGTTGTGTTGTGTTCTTTTTTCCATTAGCAAATATGTGTGTGTGTGTGTGTGTGTGTGTGTGTGTGTGTGTGTGTGTGTGTAAATGAATTTTCAATAAAAGAGAGGTCATTTAAAAAGTATTTATTAGAAGAGAAAAGATGAAAGTTATTTTTTGGAGACAGACTTGTAGTTTAAAAATATAAGCACTTACACATTCTGTGTCATTCACTTTGGAATACATATATATATATATATATATATACATATATATATATATTTTTTTTTTTTTTCACCCCCTGGGAATTTTCAACAATACTAAGCAGGGATATTAAATGATCCACTGACCCCAAGTCACTATTTTTGGAAAGAAATGGTCAGCAGTCTTGGCAAGGACTGAAAATTTTCTCTCTTTGGGATCAAGCTTTGTTTCAGTTAAGCAAAGTGAATTACCTCGAGTCTTATATTCTGGGCAATTATGTCATGACAAATCTTGAGAATAAGGCATCAGCTGGAAGCTAAGGGAGTTTTATCTCCTAGGTGGTTTGGTAATCACTCCCAAAGTTTACTACCTGTAGTATTCTGGCTGTTATCCCAAGAAATGCGAATGCAGTTGCCTTTCGTATCTGAAGATGATTATACCCGGGTGTTGTTTATTCAACAGGGCTATTACAGGAGGATTCTAAGTTAAGGTTCATAAACCATGGGCATTTTAACAATAAAAAATTAAATTATAAACCTGCAAAGGGTTTCATGAGATTATCTTACTCAGTTCTTTTAATTCTGGCTTATTTTCATACTTTTCCATATAAGGAGATTCCATAGACTTTCCCATCAGTTTTAAGACTTAAAAATCCATATTGTCCTAAATTAGATAAAATTTGGACATATTTTTCCTAGGTAGCTAGTAGAGGTGAAGTTTAACTGTTTGATATCTTTCTGATAATAATACCTCATATACCCAGTAGCATGAAATAAGTGTTTCATTACCAATTTGATAAAAATCCGTTTTTCTTTTTGTTTTTGTTTTTTTCTGTTAGCAGCATTTTCTGAAGTAGAAAGGCAATCTTTACTGAGAGGTTCCTACGCCCTCATTATGGTGCTGTTGCTCCAAAGGGGGAATATGAGGGCAACATTAGAGATCTCCATTTGTCCCTAGAAAATTCTCCTGAGGCAAACTCAATCTGCTCACTGCTAACAAGTGAGGGTGAGTCCAGACATTGTTTGCATGAGACCAGGTCATCGAGACAATGCAAAGAACCCTGGATGCTAACTGAAGCTCAAATAGCCCCATAAAACTCTGACATCTTTAATGTAATGGCTGATTAAAAAGAATGAGATCATGGCCTTTGCAGCAGCATGGATGGAGGTGACGGCCATTATCCTAAGCAAACTAACACAGCAACAGAAAACCAAATGTTGCATGTTCTCACTTTTAAAATAAGAGTATATATTTTGAGTAGGTATTTCTTTGCATCGTGTACACTGTATGCATCTTGAATGTTTGTTTATCTAATAAAAGTTTTAAAGGCTTTCGGAAATATAAAAGTGAATTATCTCCACACACACACACACACAAAAAAAAAAAACCTCTGAAGAAATGCAAGCTGAACAATGAGAACACATTGACACAAAGACAGGAACAGCAGACACTGGAGCCTACCTGAGCATGGAGGGTGGGATGAGGGAGAGGACCAGAAAAAGTACCTGTTAGTTTAGGAGGCTGAGGTGGATGGATCACCTGAGGTCAGGAGTTTAAGACCAGCCTGGCCAACATGGTGAAACCCTGTCTGTACTAAACATACAAAAATTAGCCAGGCATGGTGGCACACACCTGTAATCCCAGCTACTCAGGGAGCTGAGGCAGGAGAATCGCTTGAACCCAGGAGGCGGAGGTTCCAGCGTGCTGAGATTGCACCATTACACTCCAGCGTGGGTGACAGAGCAAGACTCCATCTCAAAAAAAAAAAAATAGAACAAGAAAAAGTACCTGTTGGGTATTAGGCTTAGTACTTGGGTGATGAAATTATCTGTACACCAAACCCCCGTGACATGCAGTTTACCTGTGTAACAAACCTGCACATGTACTTCTGAATCTAAAACAAAAGTTAAAAAAAAATACCAAAAAAAGTAAATGTAATGGCTATACCTACTGAAACATACACCTTTCTACCAAGTCGTCACAGTTATTAACATAATATTTATATTTGGTGTGTGTATATTCACAATGCAGTTGTGCTCACAATTTGTCTTCCATGTTAATTGTAGCTTGCTGCTTAGACATATTTAGTGCTTTTGTTTAATTAGCCTTCATTTCCAATTGCATTTCTCTGTCTTCTTCAGTCTCTGTTTATCTTTATAGAGTTTAATTTCTGACTTGTAATCCATCCCATTCATCCTATAATTTGCCATTCACATTTCTTCAGAAATGTGGGGGATCATTCAGTTTTATATTTCCAAAAGCCTTTACAACTTTTATTAGATAAACAAACATTCAAAATGCATACACGGTGTACACAATGTAAGGAAATACCTACTCAAAATACATACTTTTACTTTTAAATCTTTTATGCTTTATGTTAAATTCAAAATAAGTAAATTTATTTAATGATACATGTAAAAAATCTTAGCCTGCTTCCAAAAAACTATTGGTTGTGTAGAAATGCCTACAGTTATTATAGACAGTCACAGAGAGTTCAGAGTAGCAGGAAAGATATCAACCATGAGATGGGCCTAGGCAATAGTTCACAGTGTTTTTTCAGTCATGACCCACCAGGTGGGTTCTGGCCGCACATGTGCTTCACACCCATGGATGGGTCCATTGTTTGTGCCTTATTCCTGTAACCCTGCATACAGCTCCATCTTTTAAACTCAACAAGAAAACATATCAGAATGCAACACATCAGAGTGCAACATATCAGGATTCAACACATCAGAATACAACATAACAGAAAGAATGCAACACATCAGAAAGAATGCAACATATCAGAAAGAATGCAACACTTCAGAATGCAACATATCAGACTGCAAGATATCAGAACGAATGCAGCACTTCAGAATGCAACACATCAGGCTGCAACATATCAGAAAGAATGCAACACATCAGAATGCAACACATCAGAAAGAATGCAACACGTCAGAATGCAACATATCTGAAAGAATGCAACACGCCAGAATGCAACATATCAGAAAGAATGCAACACTTCAGAATGCAACACACCAGAAAGAATGCAACACATCAGAATGCAACATATCTGAAAGAATGCAACACTTCAGAATGCAACACACCAGAAAGAATACAACACATCAGAATGCAATATATCAGAAAGAATGCAACACTTCAGAATGCAACACACCAGAAAGAATACAACACATCAGAATGCCACATATCTGAAAGAATGCAACATATCGGAGGGCAACACATCAGAAAGAATGCAACACATCAGAATGTGATGTATCAGAAAGAATGCAACACATCAGAATGCAACACATCAGAAAGAATGCAACATATCAGAATGCAACACATCAGAAAGAATGCAACACTTCAGAATGCAACACATCAGACTGCAACATATCAGAAAGAATGCAACACATCAGAATGGAACACATCAAAAAGAATGCAACACATCAGAATGCAACATATCAGAAAGAATGCAGCACGTCAGAATGCAACATATCTGAAAGAATGCAACACATCAGAATGCAACATATCAGAAAGAATGCAACACTTCAGAATGCAACACACCAGAAAGAATACAACACATCAGAATGCAACATATCTGAAAGAATGCAACATATCAGAGGGCAACACATCAGACTGCAACATATCAGAAAGAATGCAACACATCAGAATGCAACACAGAAAGAATGCAACACATCAGAATGCAACACATCAGAAAGAATGCAACACATCAGAAAGAATCCAACACATCAGAATGCAACACATCAGAAAGAATGCAACACATCAGAGTGCAACATATCAGAAAGAATGCAACACATCAGAATGCAACACACCAGAAAGAATACAACACATCAGAATGCAACACATCAGAAAGAATGCAACATATCAGAATGCAACACATCAGCAAGAATGCAACACATCAGAATGCAACACATCAGAAAGAATGCAACATGTCAGAATGCAGCACATCAGAAAGAATGCAACATGCCAGAATATGCAACACATCAGAAAGAATGCAACATGTCAGAATGCAGCACATCAGAAAGAATGCAACATGTCAGAATATGCAACATATCAGGAAGAATGCAGCATGTCAGAATGCAACACCTCAGAATGTAACACATCAGAAAGCAAAAGCCTTAGAATGAAGTCCTCACAAGTTTCATCTTGAACATATTCTTGAACTATATATTTTTAATTTGCCAATTTTAGTGCTCCCTCAGTAATCACAGACTCCTTTTGACACACATCACATCTGAGTCAGACATCTCAATGAGTCAGGTAAAACTGGGTTTTTTAACTGGCTTAAGTGAAATAAGGAATGAGAAATTGCCTTGAACTGTAAAATGGTCTACAAATGTAAAGTTGGAAGACATTTTTTGAATTGATTATTCCTCTACCTGAAGACATTTTTCCAACCTATAATAATCAAATGTAATAATATCTTCACTTAAAAATAGAGTTGACTTAACTGTTACTTTACACACATGCGCAAAAAAAAACTGTCATTTTTAATTTTTAAGAATTCCATCCAAAGAATTTCTTAAAAAGTTGACTTTTTTCCCCTTAATTATTTTTGACCTTGGGTTTTATGTAAAGCTTGGTGTCCTTTTAGTGTTACCTAGTGGTGTTATTAGAGTTGAAGTGTCTAAGCATATAGGAGAGTATAATAGTCAATGTGAATAATATTAAACCTTCTTCATTAAAGAGCAGTGATACACATTCTCAGCTGCCTAAGCTGAATTTGAGAATTACAATAGTAAAAGAAATTATACTTCATGGGAAGAGTTGAACAAAGGAAGAATAATTGTTGTATGTTAATTCCTTCTGTTTATCTCATTCATCTTTTTCAACTGTTAGAATTATTTCAGAGGCTTTAGATGTACATCTAGGCACATTTGAGTTTGATTTTATGTTGGTTGAATGCAGGCAAACTCTAGAATGCCATGATTACTTTTCCTGCAGGAGAGGGGTCACTGCGTAAGAAGATTTGTTAAGTATATGCTACTGTGTATTTTTATAATACAAAATATGTTCCTGCTATTAGGCTCCTGCCTGGTTTGGCCTGTTTATGTTTTGAAGAATAGTGGAGCTGGGAACTCATACGGTGGTTTTGCCTTGTGCCCCAGGAGCCTACATGCCATCATCATGGGGAGCAAAATGCCCCTCACCCCTCGCTCCTGAGGGCATTGCTGGGTTCAAAAGCCCAAAAAGAATATTCCATCAGAAGATAAATAAATACACACTTGAAGAAAGCCTCTCCTTTTTTTCCTGTGTTTGTTTTTAACCATGAGCATCTATTATGTGATTGTGTAAAACAATATTTTCCCCCCAAATTTGTACAGTACGTGTGCAGCCTGGTTCTCCTGCTATATATTCTACTTTCAATCAGGTGGGGGGCGGTGACAAGCCCCTCTTCCTCTCAACCTTGGCAGGTGCAGTGCGAGTCTGGTGGGATCCCTCACACGGGGTTTTGGAGGGCAGTGTAGGCTAATGTGACTGGTTGTTCTTGAAAATTAAAAGCAAAATAGAGAGGCAAGATTTGCTAGCTAAAGAAGACACTATTATTGGTTTCATTTTGAGAATCACTCATTTTCTGTGATTAAAATTTCTATAGGTGTGGAATGTTTTTTTTTTTCTCACATTTTGGTAGGAGAAAAACAATCATTCTCCTAGCTCCACCTGCTGAGAACTGAGAGAACTTTAAACAGATAGACATCTTTTCAAATTGTCAAAAACTTTCCCAGCATCTTTTAGCCCATGCAAAGTATTGTCAAAGCGCTAATTTTTACACTGAAATGATGAGACAAACCTTTCGCTCTTGGAAATTCCCATCAGTGAAGCGAAAATGGGTGATGACGGGCATCTTCCACTGGAATACCAGAGGCCCCAGTTCTCAATTAATTTATTAATTTTTAAAATCTGTTTTTAATAAGATGATATGTTCAGGATCATTTTCTGGGGTATGGAATTGGGTTTTCTTTTCATTAAATTAATCTTGTTATTCAGAGAAAAGTAAGTAGGAATACACGGCAATAAATAAGCCAGTCTTACTGAAACAGAACAAAAAAGCAAAACCTTTTTGTAAGTTGCATAGTGACAGCCTTTACTGGCCTCCTTTATTGACATCATGAAGTCTGGTAGGAATAACAGCTAATGCAATGTCCTGTGTTCTGATGCCTGTGTGTTAAGTTGCTAAAGGCAGACACAGAAGGCTTAAAGGGGGACTTAGACTGTCCCTCCCTGTGAAGTAGATCCATCAACACAGGATGATCACAGCAAGCATTTTAAAAAGACCATACATTGAGCGAATCCAGGAAGTCATGCTGCAGACTTTCTCTACAATCAATTGGATCATCTTTTATTGATCCATAATTAATCATTTGCAAGTTTCTTCATTTGAGGCTGCTTCCATTACATCCTTGTTATCTAAAAGCAATCCCCTCTCATGAGCACATTAGGCCCTGTTATTTATGGGAAGGATCCATCACTGAGTTGCACTGTGAGTTGCAGGAGAGGAGGAAGGTTGGGGACCCGGCTCACTGTGTGCTCTGAGCACTCCCTCTTCTGTCCCTCTGCAGAGAAACAGTCCTCAGGATAACAGCGGGAACTAATGCATTTGCCCTGCAGGGGTTGGTTGGACGGCTGAGAGGTGTGAGATTGTTCCTCCCCACTGCCTTTGTCCAGGACAAGAAAATAGGACTCCCATTGTGAAGAAACGACAGCTAGCCAGCAGCTCCCTGGGAGTTATGGAGCCCATCGCCACCCTTGGTTTCTCCTGTGTGTGTCTCCTGTTCTCTTAGGATCCATGACAAGATCCTTGTGAATGAAAAGATCCGCCTCGTCCAGACACTACAGGCAGGGGAAGAGGGGAACCGAGAAGTCAGGGTCTTTCCCCTGTTTCTGACCTAGTGACAACATCCAGGACAGAAGCAGCCTACTTTCAGATGTGACTGGCCAGTATCACTATTTTGGAAGAGCCAAACAAAGATCTAGAACAAGAAGAACTTCCTTAAATTGAAAGAATACAAGCCTAGATTTTATTTTCATAGTTTCAGAAAATGAGTTGTGATTCCTGATTGGGAGGGCCTATAGGGTCCTCTAGGGCATCTCTCTATCTGACCTATCAGGCATCTATCTCTTTTTTTCTTCCATGTTTATTATCATTATCTTTGTTTTTGCCTCTCTCATCAAATTTGTATGTCATGGTTTTTCAGTTTTGGCATATTTTCATTTTGTAAATGTCACTTATGTAAATCTACTAAGTAGAGGATCATTTAGCAAATCAATTACTCATAAATGATGAATTTATTTTTCTTCTTACCAACTGTATTCAAATGATGGTCCTAGAGGGACATTCTTGGATTCAAGATCAAGATGACTCCATGGATCACTCCTTAGGAAAAGGAAATGAAAGGGAAACCCACACTTACTAAGCACCTGCCATGTGCCGGATAACACATTAAGTGCTTTCACGACATAGGTTACTTTGGCAGATTTTTTTTCCACGTGCAACAACTGAATGATCTGTCTTGTTATAGATTTACTCTGTTTACATAGAATAAATGCCATTTTTACTACAGCAAGTGGTCCTCAGAATTCTTAACAGTAACAGAGTTTCCAGAAACACATTGAATGATATGACACATCTTTGAATCCACTGGAATGCTATTTTTACATAGAAAAACTGTCATTTCTACTACAGAAAGTGAACTAAATTTTATTTCAGTCCCTCTCTGCAGGAATGAGTGTCTCATAGCAGGGCCGCAGATTTACAAGGTGCACATTGACGAGAGCCTCAGACTAACTTTATGCCTTTTGATTTGTGAAGTGAAGTCAGTGCCCTCATTTCCAGCTGCATACGACACTGCCTTCTCCTGGTATAATGGTCATTGAATGTGCTGAAATAAATGTGGGACATATTTCATTTGAAGGGACAAAACTCAGAGCTGCTGTAGTTAACCTCCTGCTCTGACAGTATATGGAAGATCAAAAACTCAAGAGCAATGACCGAGGATGGGAGAAGAGGGACTGGTCCCTGAGAATCACAGCATGTGCCAGGCATGGTACTGGGATCTTTGCCAAAATCATCTCATTTAATGCTCATTTCAACCCTGCAAACAAAGAATTTTCTTTATTTTGTGGATGAGGAAGCTAAGTATTAAAGTTAATTGATCTTCCTGAGACTTTGGGGCTCAGGGCTCCAGGTACCTCCAAAACCCAGCAGGCTCTTTTTAGTGTTGGCAATAATGACTGCCACAAACTGCGGAAATGGGTAGGGTGAGCCATGCGGTTAGCCAGTGACTAGAAGGGATGCTTTGTGAATACCTGTGCTGTCTTTGAAATTTGTACCTTAAAAGATTCAGGCTCTTCCCTGCCTGTGCCTTTAGCAAATCACTTCTGCATCTATCATCCATGAACCCTTCTGGAATCTAATGAAATATTTAGGTGGTACTATCTTTGAAGATAAATGATTCCCCACTTCATCAGGCACCAAGTAATGTAGTTCTTACTTTTATTTGTCCTGAGTCTACTGCCTTCAATCAATTTATGATCTAGTGAACTGGTCTGAGGTTACCCTACCCATTGTCTTTATAATTCCAGAGACCTGGTTTGTTGAATTATTTAAATGTTTGCATTAAACAAAATTTTTAATCATTTGAACATTTATCCACCGTGTTAGGCCGTCCTGCATTACTATAAAGAAATACCTGAGGCTGGGTCATTTATAAAGGAAAGAGGTTTCATTGGCTCATGGTTCTGCAGGTTGTACAGGAAGCATGGCGCCAGCGTCTGCTAGGCTCCTACGGAGGCCTCAAGGAACTTTGACTCATGGCAGGAGGAAAAGCAAAAGTGGTATCTCACATGGGAGAGCAAGAGCAAGACAGTGGGGCGAAGGGGAGGTGCCACACACTTTGAAATAACCAGATCTTATGAGAACTCACTCACTATTTGTGAAGACAGCACCAAGCCATGAGGGTTTCACCCCTATGACCCAAACACCTCCTACCAGGCCCCATCTCCAGCATTGGGGATTACAATTCAACATGAGATTTGGTTAGGGACATATATCCAAATTATATCACCCACAATTAAACTTTAGTTATTGATATTATCATTCTAATAATTGGTGGGGAATTCTAGTAATTGCCAGACCTCCGGGTATATAACTGGTCCCAGAATTATAAAAATGTGTTCATATTTTTCACCCTGCATGATAAAATACAAAGAAAAACAAAATGTAGCATTTTAGTACAGAGGCTATGAAAATTATTACAGCCTCAGCATCCAGAAACTAAATGATATTAGATGGCTAGATAAAATGTATCAGGCTTTGGACAAATCAAAATTTGAGCAGAAATTGCAAATGTAACCAGCAGTACTGAGAGTATAATTTTTCAGCTTTCCAATTCACACTATCATCAGAGGCACCATCCCTGAGAGAGAAGCAATTCCTGAAAGTATGAACGCTTACCATATTTTTCAACCAGGTCTCTTTTACAAATGCAGAATATGACTGTCACTTGTAGTATGTCCATACATAAGCTTTTCTGCATTAGCACATGTATATCCTTTCAAATTTAGAAAGTTGCAATATCCTTGTATCAAAATATGCTATTCACGATCACTTTGAATCATTTAACATGAAAGGGAGCTATTAGCTCTTCAGCCGTTCCCCTCTGCAGTAGCATTACTAGGACTTGGCAGATAAGGACTCTTATTCCATGTGCCCGTCCTTTCAGGGACAGTAGATGGGGACCCTTAAATCTAGACATTGCAGACTCACCAGGCAAGAAGCTCTACTTCCCCCAGCATCACTGAATGGAGAAATGTTGCTGAAACATCTACCTTCCCACATTTTCTAAAACACACTCACAATGGAAGGAGCTGCTTCCACGCACTCACAGTGGAAGGAGCTGTAGGTGAGTGCGCAGTGGAGAGGGTGGTGGAGACAGGTGTCTTGAAGACCGAGCCCCCTACTGTTCTCTGTCTTCCCTGTTGAGGCCGTGAGGGCAGAACAGGTCTGCTGAACCAGCTTGAGGGAAGCATCCACAGGAAACACCCATGAGAGGAGAAAGAAGGGAGCGGCAAAGGCAGCCTGCGTGGATTCTCAGAGCATGGGGAGGACTGTGCCCAGATCTGTGGCTCCACTTTCTTTTTTCAGAGAGTGTGTGATTCAGTTTCCAAGGTGACTAGTGGCCCTGGGTGTAAAGTGATAGACTCATTTTTGTGCAGGCCATTGATCATGTCTACAGTCGTGAAAGAAAGTGTCTGTCTTTCTTTCTTTCATCCCTGAGTTTGAACTTCAACCTCTAGGGCTGCCCATGGACCCTGCATAGGTCATTTCTCCCAGCCGCCAACAACAGGAGCCAGAAAGCCAAAATATGCAAGATGGGGACCCCAGCAGAAACTGTAGGTTTCCCCTCCCACACCAATGCTTTCCAATGCAAAGATCCTTGCTCTAAGTAGTGGTGGGAATAGGAGAGGAACAGAGACTTTGGGTTAAAACATAAACATATTACCATGAACTTTAAAAGACATGAGGATTTGTAATAAACAGTGATCTGTTGTGTGTCACTTTAATCATGTAGACATGCACTTTTTTTTTTTTTTGAGAGGGAGTCTTGCTCTGTTGCCCAGGCTGGAGTGCAGTGGTGCAATCTCGGCTCACTGCAAACTCTGCCTCCTGGGGTTCAAGCGATTCTCCTGCCTCACCTTCTCAAGAAGCTGGGATTACAGGCACTCACCTCCACACTCAGCTAATTTTTGTATTTTAGTAGAGATGGGGTTTCACTATGTAGGTCAAGCTGGTCTCGAACTCTTGACCTCAAGTGATCCACCCGCCTTGGCCTCCCAAAGTGCTGGGATTACAGGCATGAGCCACCGTGCCCAGCCAGCGTGCACTGTTTAACTCCTAAATGAGGACTCTTTTTAGGAGAATGGGAGAACTTAAAGGTCTAAGGGAGATGTTTCAAGAGCTAAAAGTAGAGGGAAATCTTTAAAGGTTAAAGTCAGGAGAGAAAACCCAATGACCTCAAAAAGAAAAACTTCTTAGAGAATTTTTAAAGAAAAATTGTAAAAATGCAAGACCAAACAATTCCTTAAATAAGAGGCATAGACAAATTAATGTCAAATTAAAAGAAGAATAAAACACCATTTTTATCTCATTATAAAATATTTTTAAATGCATTCAATGTTCCATTTTGCCCTGGATTCATGGAATCACAAAAAATACTGACAGGAGTATAAATTGGATCAACTTCGTGGGGCAGAAATTTGCTGATATATCAAAATATTGAAAATGTTTACACGTTTGGACCAGAAAATAGACTGTTAGAAATTTATCCTAAGAAAATTACCAGATATGTAGCCAGGGTTATGTTCATTGTTCTGTAGAGCGTTGCTTATAGCTGTGACAAAGTGGAAACAAGTCAGAGTTCAACAACAGGTGCTGAGCTAACTAAATTATAATACAGTGTTAGGAGGAGAACTCTGTGCTACCAAAACCCTTCTTGTAGATAAGTATTTACTAATATGAAATATACTAAGTACAATGATATTGTAAAATAATGTATACATTATGAATCCAGTTACGTAAAAATCAATGCACACAAAAATATTATGATATTTGTATGCTGGGGGCATTATGGGGATTTGTGCTTTCCTGCTTTTCCCCCCGAATTTTCTATATACTCAGAAAATAGTTTTTTGGTTTGGTTGTGGTTTGTGTGCATGTTGGGAGCAGAGGCAGGTGTTAAGGTGTTTAACTCAAGCCTAAGGAGGGTTGCTGAGCCTGACTTACCAGTAAAGGCGGAGATTTAGAGGCCAGTTTCCCAGACTATGAAAGAAGGAGTAATTGGTGCTTTCAATGGATTCCCTCCCTGTGAGTCTGAGTGGAAAAAATTAGCTTCCAAACCAAGTGCTTCTAAGGTCTTTTTCTAATCCCCTTTTCAAAAACTTCTCATTTTATCCGGACCTGAAAGCTGGGGTCAAACAGTTCCACTTAATCTGTAAAAACTGAGATTCACATGGAATCTGCCACTTACCCAAGCAGAACTGTGTTTGGGAGCAGTGATTTTTAAGTGTTTGAACTTTTTTCTGTTCACCGAGTAGGGGTGACACCATGACCCAGGGAGGCAGCAGCCCTCTGAAGGCAGCAGATCACGGTGGGTGGCGTGGCTGACGGGCCATCCACGCAGCCCCAGCACGGGGGGGACCCAGAGCCCACCAAAGAGGGCCCTGAACAGGTGCGTCCATAAAATCCATTTATGTTTTCTGGTGTGATGGGACTGCATAAACAACTGGCCTTAGAAGCCTTTTTAAATTTTATTTTTTATTACTTTTTATTATTTTATCAAGAAGTAAATAATCACTACTTAGCCTTAAAGCTCTAGTGTCCTCTATGTAGATCTGGCATCTCCGTTTTTAGTCAGGAGGGCTGGCCCTTGAGCAGATGCAGGCACGAGGAAAGCCATGGGCAAGGCAGGGATGCTGCCCTGCTAGAGAAACTATGTATCCCACCCTCACATCGGTCCTAAATGCACTAGCAAAGTGAATTTTGAAATAAAAATGCTCAAATGTTCTCTCTATTCTGCATATTCTAATGAAATTGACTTTTACAAATCAGTTGGTCATATTTCAAGGGACAGCTTTATTTTATACTTTTATACATTTTATACATACACAGTTGGATCAAAATCACATTTTAATTTGACTTTTCTGTTTAGTTAAAAATAACAACAATAACAATTTATCTTTCCCAAACGACAAACTTTATAAACTTGAGGGACCTCTGCCCATGGATCGGATGTTATGTCGCACCTTCATCTTATTCATATCAAATGTGATTACCAACCATTGGGAAAGTTTTTCCATGATATTCCTCTAGAAAATCCAGCCTAAGTCCAAAAGCTTTAATTAAAAACAGTCTGTCTGCATTATGAACGGGAAGTAATGCATACTTCTGAAATGATAAGGTTCACTTAATCTCTCTTTACTCTTTTGGAGTAGAACTGATTGAGAACAACATTTGCTAATTTGTAAGGTCAAGATATCTTTATTTGCAGGATGAATGAAGAAATATACAGGACTTAAAAATAGTTAAAAAAAAAAAAATAGTTTTAAAAGTACCTATGAGAATATACTAACTTCTTGTAGAATTTTCTATTTTGAAAGCAAAGGGCATTTTCATTGATGACAGATATTTTTCTTAATCATCCTGGTTAGGAAACTGTACATTTAAACCTTCAATATTATTGATGAAGACAGTTGCACATTGTCTGTAGGATGGAGAGCCCCTTCTCAGATGAATGCCAGGCCTCCTCTCTGCAGGGGGTGACTTTCTTCTGCCCACCTGCCCCCCCCCACCTGTGCCCATCAGTGCCCTCTGAAATGTGGGGCAGATGAGTTTGCGGTGCCTCCAGATGTGCTTCCAGAGCAGACCCTGCAGTGTCGGGGCACAGGAGGATTGACAGCATTGAGTCCCAATTCAGGATGCATAAGTTCAGATTTCTCCAGGTACCAGCTGTGAGTTACCCTCCTGCATAAGGTAGGGAGATAGTAGTTACCTGTGGTAGGGCTGCTATGAGATAATGCACATGAAGACCTTCACGTCATACCTGGTGGGTGATTAGCTCTTAATGACTGCTGCTACTCTTTTGAACTTTTTAATTGTTGATAATGTTTTTTATTATTGTTAGTATGGTTAATAATTATCAGGTGGCAGCACTTCAGGCTTGTGATTATTCTTATACTTTAGCCTTAATTATTTTTTTCGACTTTCCAGTGGAATCCAATGGTTTTCTCTGTTGGTTTGTTGTGCTGTAATCCTAGTAAGACCAGGAAGCAGAACCACGGAAAACTGGAGCATAGTGCAAACGGGGAGGCAAAACTGGAGTTACACGAGAAAGACTGCAGAGCCACGGACTCAGTGAAGTGGGTTAGAACAGCGGGCTGGGTGCAGTGGCCTATGCCTATAATCCCAGCACTTTGGGAGGCCAAGGCTGGAGGATCGCTTGAGGCCAGGAGTTCAAGACCAGCTTGGGCACCATAGCGAGAAACCGTCTCTACAAAATATTTAAAAAACAAAATAGCCATACATGGTGGTGCATGTCTGTAGTCCCAGGTACTCAGCAGGCTAAGGCAGGAGGATGGCTTGAACGCAGGAGTTGGATTAGCAAGGGTCATCAGGCAGTATTACATGAGCTTCTCTTATCATGATAGGAGAACAAAAGACTTATATAAGAGGGACACCCTATGAAAGATACAGGCTAAATAGTATTATATTCAATTCATTTTATTCCTGATTTTTAAATGTGCACACAGAGATGACTTAAATTATATCATGATGTCCATAATCACACATGATAGCCCTAGTCACATATCTGAAAGCAGTGTTGCAGACAAGAAAGCTTTTGTGGTACAAAGGTGTTGTTGGGTAGTTGCTATAGAGACTGCAAGCCCCACAAAGCCTGTAATGTTGGTTAGCTGGTCCTTCACAGAAAACATTTGCCCACCCTACACTAGATGCCTGGCAAGGTAGTCTTCTGAAACTTTGCTTGCCCTCTCTTCTCCTTTTTCCTTCCTCTCTTCTCTCTTTACTTTCTTTATTTCTCCTGCAACTCTTGAGAAATACTTAAAAATACTTAAAAAAAAAAAACTCCATTAATGAAGACTGTCAGCACAACAGGGAAATCTCTGGAAGGAGAGACTCGAGAATGTTGGCAATCCGTACCCTTCGCTAGGCGATGAGGGGTGATTTTTTTCCCCTTTCTTATTTTGTTTATCTCCATTTTCTAGTTTTTCTTCAAGGAACATTTAAAAGCTGAGTAATTAAACAGCGAGCAAATAAGAAAGTCTTTGTAATCAGCAATAATGTCAGGCTTATTGATAACAGTCTTAGTTATGAGTGAAGGGATTGGAATGTAATTAGCCTGCTCCATGAGATTATCTATAATTGTGAGATGCCGCTAAAGCCCCTTCACTGGCCCTCTAATCATGAGACTCAGAAGATGTTCTGGAGCAGTTATTCTTAAATTTTTTTTCTGCAGGATAACACACTTGAAGGATAGAAGACCTCTTGAGTCACTGAACGGGAGGAAGATTTAAAAGCCAGTTGCACCCATCATTTCCAGAAAGAGTGATATTTACAATATCTAATAACCTGTTTACAACAGGTATCAGGCCATCAGAGGGTTTGTCTATTATGGGTGCAGCCTTACTGGCAGGTGCCTGCTAGGGATAGTCCCGAGGCCACTGGGCTGTTTCTCTCGGGGTGCCCACCCTAGGGAATGAGAATGACCCTGAGAAGGCCACACCTTTGCCCAGCACATCTCTAGCCCCCTGAAATTGGGTGGACTCATTTATTTTTTTCATTGACTAGTTTCCTTGGTTCCCAAGGCACCATCATTCATGCCTCCAAAGAATATTTGTCAATTACCTTCTACATGCACTCTCTAGTGTGGGATATAAAGAAGTAGCACCCATGTCCTCCACACTGGATCAGTCTCAGTAGGGAAACTGAGTCATATGGGAATTATTAGGCGAATGATGTTTAGTGCCCATCTCAGTCTTCCTGCAGTTGCACCCTGGATGCCAGGGTTTGAGGTGCCTCTTGGTGATTGCTATGGACGCTCCTTGAGAATGTGTGAAACCTCTCTTCCCAGTACACAACACTTTGCCTGGCTTTCAAATCCGTTTTCTCATTTAAGAAAGTTACCTTAATTATTAATAGGCTCAACTAAGGGCAGTGAAAAAAGACCATCTTGAAAAATGTATCTTCCAACCATCGCAAGGCACATTGTATGAATATAAAATATTTATAAAACGGCTCAATTTTAGTGATACGTAGTAGCTAGCTCTGGTCGATGTGTTTCTCCCCACGTTCTGCCATGCGTCTGTTTTGCTGGAAACACACACAGCTGAGCGCTTTTCCCTCTGGGCATCCTCTTCACTCTCATGCACAATGACACTGAGGACCTGAGCAGGCTCCACTCACCATGGAAGGGGAAAGCTGCCTGCATGAGCACAGCGGGATGGAAGCGGGCCTGGGCCAAAACTCTCAGGCAGGATCCAAGTCCCACCCCTCGCGGGCGTGACACACAGGCACCCCCTTCCTCTCTTAGAAGGTCTTGTGTAAAGAGTTTCTGTGTCTACTTCACAGAGTTATCATGGCTACTACAAAGTATAATTCAAATGTGAGATGTTATGATTGATACAAATACTAATATTGATTTGCTGACCAGAAGATATGAATAAGAATCAAAGTATTCACGAATTAGGAACACCGGAAGACATTTCCCTCTACCGCCCCACCATCTCCGCAATCTGCTTCTTCCTCCTCATATTCCTGCTCCCCACAGTCTCGTAGACAGACCAGCCCTTGGTGCGATGTCAGAACACAGATGTGTCTTGAAGCAGGACCCCCACCCTTTGACTCTCTCATGGTGTTCTAGTGTCTTCACAGCACTTATTATGGTGTAAAGTTATCCTGTGCTATGGTTTGAATGTGCTCCTCAAAGTTCAAGTGTGGAAATGCACCAGTGTTGGGAGGTGGGTGGGACCTTTGGGAGGTGAAGGGGGATTCATGCCATTCTCAGTCCTCTTGCCCGTCCGCATTCCATCATGGGCTGGTACAGCAAGAAGGCCCGCACTGGATGGCCTCCTCTCGATGTTGGACTTCCCAGTCTAGAACTGTAAGAAAGAAATGTCTGTTCTTTATAAATTATCCATCTCAGTTAGCCTGTTACAGGACCACAAATGGACTAACACATCCTGTGTGTTTCTTGCCATGGTTGTTTCACATCTGTCCCTAGTAGAACATAAGACCTCTGACAGCTGGGTGTTGGCCAGCCCAGCCTACATGACATGCTCTGCACACAGCAATTAGAACACATGCCCGTGTTACCCTCCGATAACCAGCCCACACTTCAGTGTGATGCTTCTCTAATTATGGTTACCAGGCTCATCTTGTCTTTCCCTCGCTCAAGAACTCCAAGTGGTTCCCTGTTGCTTATTGTTTCTAAGCTGAAGGCCTCTTCCCAGCCGCCTGGTCTCTCATCACATTCTGCTCTGGCCATGCCACCTTGGGGGCCACTTCACCTCCCACGCTGCCCCCACTGCATTGCCGCTGCCTTCCAGCGTCCACTTGGCACTGTTTTGTTTCACCATTGTTGGTCTAATAGATTTCCTGATAATTGTTCTCAAGCCTTGTCTGCCCAACCTCAGTGAAAATATCTTAAGTACATAGCCTTTGTTTCTTTTCCCCCCCTCTTGAGACACCTTGCACATAAAATCCCTTAAACACAATAGGTACTCAGTAAATGCCTGTTGACAGATGGGCTTAGACATAGCGTTTAGGTTTATTTGTTTGTTTGGGAGAAAGAGGTTAACAGGGCTGAGACGGTAAGAGCATTTTTTTTGTTCATAGTGCAGCCATGGTTTTGAAGCTACCAGCAGCAAATTGCCACCCACGCATAAGGAAAACAGATTTCTATACATTTAGGGGGAAAAAAGCACTGCTACTTTCAATGCAGCCAGCTATATTTCATGCCAGTGGCATGTTGGAAATAAAGAGAAACAGCAGAGGCCCAGAAAATGCCTCTAGTTCCTCCTCATTTCTGAATTCTTTATCAGCACTGACATCTGGCAATAGAATATTACTCCAACAGCAATAATATGAAAAGAGCATCAGATACAAGGTTGCTGTGAGCATCAAATTAACCCAGTCTCCTCTGTATTCTATTTGACCAGGAACTGGAGACACAGTGGTGCTTAGAGGAGCTCTGGGGGGATTCAGGAGAGGAGTCGGTAAGATGGGCCCAGCACAGCATGGTGGCTGTGTCGCTAAACCAGATCCAATTCCCCAGAAGAGCTTGTTAAATATAGATCACAGGGCCCCACCCCAGCGCTTCTCACCCAGTCTGTCTAGGGTGGAGTATCATAATTTGAGTTTCTAACAAATTCATAGATGTTGCTGATGGTGCTGGTGTGGAGTCCCTGAGAGCTACTGCTCTGGCAAACAGCAGAGCAGAGGGTCCTAGTGGATGGTAGGGGAGCTTGTGAGGACTGAGAAGCTTCCCGTCATTCCCCCCAGTGACTGGGGTTCTGCATCAGCTCTAGAAACACTGGATCCTCTCAGCCACAGCTGGCTATGTAACGTCCTCTGTCAGCTGAGATTTAACTGAGCAACATCCTAACTCAACTGGATGGAAACTGGGGCCTGGGCAACAGTGGTGAACCTCTAGTTTTCACCGCATGTTTAAGAAGGAACAATGTCAGTTTTTATTTAGAACTAGCCAGCCACCCTAAATCTATAAAAGCTGTTAGGAGGACACATCTTTAAATGAACATAAAACTATCATGACTAACCTAATCTCCTTTATTTTTAATGAACACATATATTTGTCTTGAAGAGGGATACATATTCACTGAGTAAAAATAACATACAGATAAACAAAAATAAGAGAACTAAGAAATACGCATAATCCCACCACCAAGAAAAGGCTGCTATGGCGTTCCAGATATTCAGAGGTAATTCAGATCATCACCGAAAGTCAGGAAGACAACGGGATTTTTTCTGTTGAGTCTTCCAGTCCTGCCATTCTCTGATTCAAATTATATTTGCCTTTTGTTATCTGCTACATTGGGTTCTGTGTTACCACAGGCAGCCTTCTAATATCAGTGAATGATGGACCTCAGAGCTACTCCGCCTCCAGGAAGGCAAAACCATAAAAAAGTCTAATGTGCACATTTTCGTTATAAAAACCCAGCAATGTGGACTGAGCGGAGGTGCAGCTGCTTGTGTCTTTGGCATGCAGCTGCCTTGTAGACGAGGAATGTTATTATCTCTGGTTATGAAAGTGTTTTAGGAAGCAGGCGGGAAGGATAATGGTAAGAATACCGTTCAAATATGGCATCCTTAAGATGCCGTATTTGAAAGATGTGCAGGCATCTGGAAGTTTATTGTGGGGATATTCCAATCCTGAAAATGCCAATTTCAAGGAAGTAAACACTGATATGTGTCTTTGTGGGGTGGCGGTGGGGAACAAAAGCGAACACATCTCTCACCGGTTCTGTCCTGGGAATAAGAACAAGTGTCTTACCATCTTCATTCTTTCATAATGCATTCACTAATCTCTGTGTGTTCATTTGAGAACTGTTTTGTAAGTGTGAAAGTAAATGAGAAAGTTGTCTTTGTTTTTCTCTTTTCTGTGTTTACGGTCTTAAATGGCCATTTAAAAAAAGTGTTTTACATGGAGTACATGGACACTCCCTGTCTTAGTCTGTTTGTGCTGCTACAACAAAATGCCACAGACTGGGTCATTTATAAAGAACAGAAATTTATCACCCTGAGCTCTGGAGGCCGGGAAGTCCAAGATAAAGACTTCAGCACTGGTGTCTGGTGAGGGCTGCTCTCTGCTTGCACGATGACACCTCCTTGCTGTGTCTTCACATGGCAAAAGGCAAGAGAGCCTAATGCGGAGTAAAGCCTCTTTTATAAGTATCTAAATCCCATTCATGGGGGAGGAGCCCTCGTGGCCTAATCACATCTTAAAGAAGCCATTTCTTAATAATACTGCATTGGCAACACCTGATTTTTGGAGGGGACACATTCAAACCATAGCACTCCCTTCTAAGCCTTATGGTGAGGGCTGGGGCTCTCTTTCTTCCCCTCTTTTCAGCATCTGAGATTCACCATGGCCATAGTTGCTTGTCATCTATTGCTAATATTGAATTACAGTGTATTTTGCTCAGATCAAGCCACTGTGAATCACCGTGTGTATCCGTCGTTCTCACGTTGCCAATAAAGACATACCTGAGGCTGGATAATTTATAAAGAAAAAGAAGTTTAATGGACTGACAGTTCCACATGGCTGGGGAGGCCTCACAATCATGGCAGAAGGGGAAGGAGGAGCAAAGACATATCTTTCATGGTGACAGGCAAGAGAGCGTGTGCAGGGGAACTGCCCTTTATAGAACCATCAGATCTCATGAGACTTATTCACTCCCACGAGAACAGCATGGCAAAAACCCGGCCCCATGATTCAATTACCTCCCGCCAGGTTCCTCCTACAGCAGGTGGGGATTATGGAGCTACAATTCAAGATGAGATTTGGGTGGGGACAGAGTCAAACCATACCACGGTGTTACAAACCTGGAGCACCCTTTTTAGAGCAGCATAAATGTGAACAAGTGAGTATGAGCCAGAGTGATGGACAGTGAGGTCGTACAAGGAACAGTTGAAAAATGTGTGAGTCTAGTCTGAAGAAGAGCTGTGGTGTAATAGGAACTATATTTGGTCTTTGTCCCCAGTTACTGTCATAGAGGTCCTAAAAACCTCTGGAAATTTTGGAGTGATAGTAGTATATTTTGTTATTCATAATTAGCCCCTTGGATAACTCTTATGTTTATGCTAATGCATTTACTCAGGGTGCACCCCCTAGAGAGCCTCCAGATTGGCCCAGAAAGACCAAGTAATTTGAAGATTAGAGGGCTGGAACTTTCAGCCCCACCCATTGACCTCTGGGAAGGGGGTACTAGAGACCAAGCTCCCTATAAACTCTTGAACAACAAGATTTGATGAGCTTCTGGGGTACTGAACATGTAGAGATGCTGCAAGGGTGGCAGCTCCAGCAAGGGCATGGAAGCTGCATCCCCCCACCTCACCCTATTCATCTCTTCGTCTGGTGTTCATCAGCATCCTTTATAATGCCTTAGAATAAACCAATAAATATAAGTGTTTTCATGAGTTCTGTGAGTTCTGTGAACTGTTCCAGCAAATTAATCTTACCCATTGAGGAAATTGTGGGAACCTTGGTTTGTAGCCCATCGGTCTGAGGTACAGGTGGCCCCAACTTGTGATTGAGGTCTCTAGTCTTGTGGGGCTGAGCCCTCAATCTGTGGGATCTGATGCTATTTCCAGGTAGGTAGAATCAGAATCGAGTTGAATTATAGGATACCCAGTTGGTGTCCACTGGAGAACTGCTTGGTATATGTGGCAAGTCCCCCCCACCACCATCTGGTCATAGAAGTGTTCTGTGTTGAGTGTCTGAGTGCAAGGACAAAAACAGTTTGTTTTTGTTTTTGTTTTTGTTTTCCTTATTCCAGAACAGATATGGTGGAGATTGGGGAGAATCTGTGAGATAGTCATGACATTTATATACGTATATGTTTTTAGATATTTGAGTCCTATCAAGTGAAAAAGAGAGTAGAGTTCATCTGTGTTGTTTCTTACAGAAGAACTTAGATCCATATGGAAGTAAATTTAATAAGGAACAGATTTATATTCAAAATAAAAACAAATTTTAGAATTAGTGCTATTGAAAAATGGAATGAGACTCCTAGAGAAATCATAAGCTCCCAGGTATTGGAAGGTTTTTTTGAGAGTCTGAATGGACTAGTTTCAGAAGTATCGTAAAATGGATTCTAATACTGGATGGAAAGGTGTCATAGATGTTCTTTGAGGAGTATTAAGAGCTAAGATACGGAATGTATCCTTATGTGTTACAGAGTCAGTATAGCAACATCCTAACCCAGCTTCCTGCCCACATTTCATCCAGTTGACCCCATTGTTTCTATTAGAATAACCTATTTGCTAATAACCTAACTTTAAGCCATTTTAAGTGTCAGTAGTGACTCCATTACTGCTTGTTATGTGAAATTCATTTACTTGAGGCCCACATTTGAATATTCTCCCAAGTGATTTCCCACTTTCAATATCTGGTCTCTGTTACCATAATGCTAACTGAGTTGTTACCTCACCTCATGTATTAGTCAGGGTTCTCTAGAGGGACAGAACTAATAGGATAGGTGTTGTATATATGAAAGGGAGTTTATTAAAGATAATTGACTCACATGATCACAAGATAAAGTCCCACGGTAGGCCTTCTGCAAGTTGAGGAGCAAAAAAGCCAGTGGTGATCAGGCCAAGTCCCAAAACCTCAAAAGTAGGAAAGCCGATAGTGCAACCTTCAGTCTGTGGCTGAAGGCCCAATAGCCCCTGGCAAACCACTGGTTTAAGTCCAAGAGTCAAAAGCTGAAGAACTAGGAGCCTGATGTTTGAGGGCAAAAGGCATCCAGCATGGGAGAAAGATGAAGGCTGGAAGACTCAGCCAGTCTGCTCTTTCCATCTTCTGCTGCTGCCTTATTCTAGCTGTGCTGGCAGCTGATTAGATGGTGCCCACCCAGGTTGAGGGTGTCTGCTTCTCCCAGCTCACTGACTCAAATGTTAATCTCCTTTGGCAACACCCTCACAGAAACACCCAGGAAAAATACTTTGCATCCTTCAATCCAATCAAATTAACACTCAGTATTAACCATCACTCCTCTCAACTTTGTTCTTCTAAATTTCTCCTTTCTGCCAATCTAAATGTATTTATTATTATTCAAATTTAGACAAATCTTGAATTCTGAAGCAGTTAAACCTCTTTTCCACATATGACGACTTCTCTTCTGACACATTCTGTATACACACAGTCATAGACATACAATGCATATATGTACCTTTCTATATGTATTAATTCATGTATAATGTATACATGCATCAGTGTGTATTTTTACTGTAGTAACAATGCTTCCTCCATTTGCATTACCATCGTGCTGCTTTCTCATCGTTATATGTATTTCCCTTTCTTCCATTCTAACAGTAAAACTATCAAAGGCAGGAACCAGACCTGTAATGTCTTTTGTCCTTGGAATGCTTTTCATGTTTTTCAACCCAAACAATGATACATAATGAAAATGATCAGATGATATGACCCCTCTCCTTGTGCCTATTTTTTTAAGTGTCTGAAAAGATAGGTTTTTAGATTTCTTATCTAGTTTGTCTTTCAGATCAACGGGAATAAGAAATATCCTTTCTCCATGTCTACAATCAAATGGAAGAAAGGAAGGAAAGGGGAAAAGAGGGTAGGAGGGAGAAGGGAGGGAGGGAGTGGGGAAGGAAGGAAGGAAGGGGTGAGGAAGGAAGGAAAGGGAGGAGGAAGGAAAGGGAGGGAGAGAAGGAAGGAAGGAAGGAAAGGGAAGGGAAGGGAAGAAGGAAAGGGGGAAGGAAGGAAGGAAAGAGGGAGGGAGGGAAGGAAGGAAGAAAGAAAAGAAGGAAGGAAGTTAAGCAGGCAGGCACATTCAAGATTCAAGAAGCAAGAAAATGTCTTATTTCTTGCTGTGACTCCTGCGGACAGAGCCCGGTGGTGAGCAGCTAGCTTTGGCTTGTTGGCAGATGGCCTAGAACAGTTCTCTAGAAGTGTAGAAGTGGAATATGTCTAGACCTCTAACAGAAGACTGGATCATCAAATCATTCTTATGATGTTTAAATGCCTGTAGAACAGTGAGCAGTCATATACACATGCACACAGATATGCACACACTCCATGCCTATGTTCTTAGCTTAAAACTGAGGATATGAAGAAGAAGAAGAAGAAAAAACATACAACAGATACTCCTTGACTTATGATGGTGTCATGTTCCAGTAAACCCATCCTAAATTGAAAATATCATTAAGTCACAAATGGTATTTTCAACTTAGGACGGGTTTACGTGGATGTAACCCCATGGGAAGTGAATGAGCGTGCTGAAAGCATTACACCATCATAAGGCTGAACCATCCTGAGGCATACCATAGTAAGTCAGGGACCATCTATATAGCTATTGTTTTAAGGATGACATAAGATTATCTAGGTTCTTTTTTTTTAAGGATGAAGGAATTGAACAATTGACAAAGCTTCATGGGGAATTTTTCCCTCTCTTTTCTGTAGGTTTTTTTTTTTAATTGGAATTATTCCAATGCTTGTCATTTTTGGTTGTCAAATATATGCAAATACCAATTTTCTGAGCTGAGTTACACTTAATCATGGAAGCCATTTAATTAGAAGTTCACCCAGAAAGCTCACTGAAATCTCCATGAAGCACTGACTGTTGAGGAAGAGTGATAATTTTGCTTATGAGGAATAACTTTTCTAATATATTTGCGTTTCTACAAAAATATTTATTTATATTGTGCTATATTCCAAAGACATTTAAGGTATCTTGGTAATTTGTATGTTTTGGGGTAATTTTATTCATCCTTAAACTTTGTCTTAGATGTTTTACATATAGAATTCTTATATAATGCTTAAAGCTTAATACATGGAAACTCTGAGGTTATTTGGGATTTGAGATTTAATGGAGACAGCAAATCAAATACAATAAATAAAGGGAAATAACAGGTGAAGTGTTTGGCTTTTAACAGTCTCTGCTCTTTATTCAGATTATTGAGTCTCATGATCTGCTATTAACCAAACTAAATACATACCCAGTTGGCCCACAATTCTTCTTTCAAAATGTAGTATTTGTATGCTTAGAACAAAGGTTAGAATTGTACTCCTAGAGGTTAAATTAATATCAAAATTTCCACGTGAATTATTTGTTCAGACTTTGGTACTTTACAAAGTATGTGTTATGAGAGAAAAGCAAGAAATGTTTCTACTTTTTCTCTGAAAAAAGAGCTCTCATGCACAATCATATAAAATTAATTGAGTCTGATAAATTCATGTTAGAGTAGAAATAAAAATATATGCCATCTAACAAGTTGAATGCCAGTTATTTTCATTTAAAGTAATTAAAATTGTATTTTCAGTTGAAGTGAGAAACTTTAAATTATTCTCAGAAAGCAGCATATATACATTGCAATTGTAGCAGAGATCTCCTTTCCCAAGAGTATTTGGATTACTATTTTATTTTTAAAACATATTAGCTCCTGCAGTGTTTTATAAATGCCTCTTTATATCTTCCTCAACCTTTAAAACTAAGATGTCCAATCATTTATCCACTAGTCATATTTAACTCTTTAAAGTTAAGTAGAAATTAATTAAAATTAAACACAATTTAAAATTCACGTTTCAAGTGCTCAGTTGTCATAGGTGGCTAGTGGCTGTCATGCTGTACAGCACAGATGTGTAACCTTTCCTTCACTAAAAGTGTTGCTGCAAAGTTTTGCTTAGATTCTTCACTTTCTTGAGGACAGAGACTGGGTTTTCTTCACCTGGGATTTCCAGCTTCCCTCGTTGCATTGGGCAACATTATTCGTAGCCATGTGGGCTCTAGAAACCAGCTCCACTGCTTACAGGCAACCTGGGGCACGTCGCTGCATCGTTCTAGGCTTGATTTTCTCTTTTATAATAAAATTAATATTTTCCTCACAAAGTTGCTCTAATGATATATGAGATAATCTAGGGCATAAAATGCAGAACATAGAAGGAGCTCTTTATATACTAGCTGTTACTGTTGCTTGTTTAATTATTTTGAAAATATAGTAAGTATCTGTTGAAAGAACGGTTAAGTGAATGACGTTCCTGTTGCAATGTCACTAAGTCCAGAAATACCTCCCCCCCATACACAGAATCCTCCAATTTTCTATAATGTTTCTCCTTTTTTTTTTTTTTTTTCTGAAATCAACCAAATCTACAGAACCTTAAAGAAAAGAAAAAGGTAATTGGGGCAGTGGTAAAATGCAAAGAGAAAGAGTAGTAATATTTACAATATTTTGGATGTTTAAATTCACATTAAAGTTTTATAATTCCATAAAAGAAAATTATTGAAACACTAGAGTAGACATTATAAAATAAATGTTCCCTAAGTTCAACCATCAGACAGTCATTTTTAAGGATTTTTTAAAAAATTCACAAGCTTCTAAAAACATAGTGTTTCAATGCCGTATGCACAATTTCATATTCTGGTCTTCTCACTAAACTTAGTATTCACTAATTCTATCATTATAATTTTTTATATTATTGAGAAGAATCATATTCATAGTTAGAATCAGACACTTAATTCCAGATGCTAGGTATGATTCTAGACACTAAAACTATTATATCATTAAATGAGGGCAACATACTCCAAAAATGAAATGTGAGTTTTGAGATAGTCATTTTCTTGTTTTTGAATATTTAGATCATTTTTAGACTTTCAGAGAAGGGCATTATTAAGGAGAATTTCTAATCTATAAATGTTAAGAGCCAGTAACCAACAGAGTCCTTTTGGATTCATTGTATGTTTGAAGCCCTAGGAAGCTTCCTTGCCTGGATAAAAAAAGCAGCAGGCAGTGACGGAGGTGTAGGATGAGGACTGGTCTGCTGTCAAATTGCACAGGAATTAGAGCACTGAATTGGAAAGTCTGATCTTAGAGTACAAAAATTAAATTTGTTAAAATCGAAAACTGCCTTTGAATATATAGTTGAAGCATATCCCAAATAAAACATCTCTATCCCACTAATATTTCAATGATACTACTAAGAATTTTTTATGCTGATTAAATTACTGCTGTTCAAAGTGTGACATTTAAAACACCTGTTTAGTGTGTTTGTTGTGTCGAAAATGTAAAAATAACACTTTGATGTAGAGCATTTATGAGCCATCCATATGTGTGGGTGTCCATATGGTATTATAAATTTTAGAAAGCATTTCTTTCCTATTGGAGAAAGAGATTCTTCATTAACTCCCAAGGGACCACTCATTTGATGACTATTGTTCTTTTGCCTTAGCATACCGGCGTTTCCTCAACGCACAATTATGATGTACTCTATTGATTATAGCAGCAACGACCTACTCAGAATTAATCTCTGTCTTTCTCTTATAACTGTACAGATTCATTAAATGTAACCAACCTTCCATTTTATTGCTAACATTAAAATGTGTAAATAACACAAGTAACCACATTTCCAAGGGTTATTTTTAACTAGATGGTATAATATCCCCTTGGAAATTAGCTATAATGTTGAAGTCAATATTTTTTAAACTGAACTAGCATTGCTTCAAATCTACCAAACACATGTATAAAACCGACAATGAGACAGGAAAAATTGAAAGCTTTATGAGAAATATGTGACTATCAGAATTTGGACCATGAAAAATTCTATAAAGTTTTTCGATATCGCTTTTCCTAAAAATACAGTTTTCTTGCCTTTCCTAATTATTGTTAAACAGCATTAAAAATTTCTCTTTCTGGCTGTTTAATATTTCTTTAATGTTTAAGAACAGAATAAATGAGTCAGTCCGGGTGTGGTGGCTCACGCCTGTAATCCCAGCACTTTAGGAGGCCGAGGCGGTTAGATCACCTGAGGCCAGGAGTTCGAGACCAGCCTGGCCAACATGGCAAAACCCCATCCCTACTAAAAATACAAAAATTAGCTGTGTGTGGTGGTACACGCCTGTAATCCCAGCTCCTCAGGAGGCTGAGACAGGAGAATTGCTTCAACCGAGATTGCGCCACCGCACTCCAGCCTGCGTGACAGAGAGAGACTGTAAAAAAAAAGTCACCTGGAATACTGCAAGCACAGGTTCCAATGCTGCTTTTCTCTCCTTGTCTTTCGTTTATCGATTCCTTCCTGCGTGCCAGTTGCATCCTAGAACAGATGAGTAAGGCACCCTTGCTGCTGTCAAGAAGCAAATGACAGTGAAGCAAAGCTTGACAGTGTGTCCGAGATGCATTTTGAGAGGCGTGAACCCGGGGTGTTATGGGAGCACCTTGGTGGGCACAAGACCCACTGAGGCCAGTCAGCGACAGTTTCCTTCAGAAAGGTGACTCCTGAGCTAGGTCCTGAAAAGCGGGTGGGATCTTGCATGGGCAAAGCTATGCTGGTGAGAGAGGGCACAGAGGTGTGAATTGGTCTGTGGGGCTTCTTCAGATGATATCCCCCAGGGATCCCGTGAAAGCCATGACAGCATCCAGTTGATGTTGAGTGCATTAGGACAGGATGAATCGAAATGGGTAGAGATTTGTTAGGTAGAATTGAGGATGTGGGGGGAAAGGAGGGGAATGAAAGTGGGCTGCAATGTGTGGAACAGCGAAGGGCCACATTATCTGGTATGCAGGGGAAAGAGTGGGGCTACTGGAAGCAAGGCTAGAAGGACTGATTTGTTCCATTCCAGTGACAGCAGGAGGAGCATATGATTAGTGTGGTGGTCAGTGAAGAGCCATTGAAGAGTTTTAATAATGACACGGTTGGAGCTCTGCATTAGTAATGTGAATCTGACAATGGAGTAGAAGCTAAGAAGGTACAACAACATAGGGGTATGCACCAGTAGAACCACAGAAATGCAGAGAATGAGAATGGACAAAGAAGCAAGGTTTACAAAGAAACCTTTGTCTAACCTGGTAAAGCGTCTTCCATCTGTCCCTTTAGCTTGGTACGGTATAGTTAGGGACAGGTGCCTCACTGGGAACTTTACTTTCATTCAATGCAGCCAGTGAACTTAGTACTTTTATTCCCATTTTACAGATGGGAAAACTGAAGAGACAGAGAATTATTATATATCAAGGACCTACCGTTTATCATTAGAAATTTCAAATATTTATCTCTATTAATCTACATAGTAACCCTTTGAGGCTGATGTTAGAATCCCTACACAGACAGTCCCCAATATATGATTATTTGACTTTATGATGGTGCAAAAGTGATACACAATGGTTGAAACCATACTTCAAGTACCAATCCAACCTTGTTTTTCACTTTTTGTACAGTATTCAATAAATTGCATAAGATAATCAACACGTTATTATAAAACTTGTTTCATGTCAGATTGTTTTGCCCAACTTCAAGGCAGAGTAAGTGTTCTGAGCACATTTAAGGTAGGCTAGGCTAAGCTGTGATGTTCGGTGGGTTAGGTGTATTAAACGCATTTTTGACTTATGATATTTTCAAGTTACAATGGGCTTATTGGGAGGTAATCCCATTGTAAGTCGAGGAGCCTCTATATATAGTTGAGGATCTGAGGCTCCAGCATATCAAACAGTCATGCCCACAATAATTTGGATAAGGGGATGCATGACTCCAAAGCTCATAGTCATCACCAGTGAATTCCATCCTGTGTTGCATGCTGGCATCACCCAGAGAACCTTTAAGAAACGCCAGTGCCTATTCTCAACCCCAAACCAATTAAATCAGGATATTTGGGATGGAGCCCAATCATCCACATTCTTTGAAAAGTCCCCTGTAGATTCTAAAGCACATATGTAACTGAGAAACGTGGTACTGCTGAGGGACCCTGAACAACCCTCTTTATAGCTGAGCAGATGTGAAGTATGATGGAGGAGGAAGCATAGATCATTGCAACGTTTGAGCCCTGGGTGATGGGAAGAATCATTTGGATACAGAGAAAGGGATACAGTCGGGAAGTCAGACCAGAGGACTGGTCAGAAATGACCGGATGAGGCACTTTTGGGCTTGGTGTGGTACTGCACAGGCTCAGGGAGATGACCATGAGGCAGCTCTAACCTAGGTGGGGAACCGGAGGACCTGGGTGTGCAGATTTTCTGCTTATATTTGACAGTTTGTAAAGCCCTTGATTTAGATGAGACCTGTGGGACAAGACTGTAAAAAGGGCACGAAACGAATCCCAGAGTAACCAGATTCAGCGGGTGAGATAAAGAAGAAAAACCAAGAAAGCTAATTTTCAGGGAGTGGATAAAATCTAAGGTGAGGTTTAAGTAGAGAACACAGGTAAACTGACGAAAGATGGCAGCACGAGTCAGAGTATGAGGGGAAATTAGGTTAGTTAGCTGAGCGGATGACCAAACCAGTGGTGGGGTATTTTAGTCTGATTCATGGGGGGAAAATAGTCCAACAGCTGGAGAGAATACAACCTGAGACTGCCTTCATGCACTCAGCAAGTATGTACTGGGAGTGTTCCGTCTTCTAGATGCCACACAGGCTCTGCTTTCCATCCCTGAACTAAACAAAGATGCATGTCCTCGGCCGGGCGTGGTGGCTAACACCTGCAATCCCAGCACTTTGGGAGGCCAAGGCTGGTGGATCACTTGAGGCCAGGAGCTCAAGACCAGCCTGGCCAACATGGTGAAACCCTGTCTTAACTAAAAACACAAAAATTAGCCAGGTGTGGTGGTGCATGCCTGTAATCCTAGATTCGTGGGAGGCTGAGGCAGCAGATTCACTTGAACCTGGAAGGTGGAGGTTGCAGTGAGCTGAGATTGTGCCACTGCACTCTAGCCTGAGTGACAGAGCAAGACTCTGTAAAAAAAAAAAAAAAAAAAAAAAAAAAAAAAAAAAAAGAGAGAGAGAGAGAGAGAGATGTGTGTCCTCATGTGGTTTACATTCCAGCTGGTAGAAACTGACTAGACACATACAAATTATGTAAATAGGACTTTAGTTTCATATGCTAAGGTTGTAGAGGGGAGATAAAGTACCTAGGATTGAGAGAATGGATTGGAGAGGCATTACAATGTTTATTAAACAAGGTGGTGGTTGGAGATTTCCCTGAAAAGTCAACATGAGAGCTAAGCCTGGCAGAGGTGAGGTGGGAATCGTGTGGCTGTCAGGGAATCACTCTAATGCTTTGTATGATTTTGGATTTTCTATGTATACAATCTTGTCATTTGGAGTCTTTAGTGCTCTGCATCTTTGCCAGCCCTGGTGTTATCTGGCCTTTATTTTATCCATTCTAATGGGCATGTAGTGATACCTGGTCAGGACTTTAACTTATGTTTCACTAATGACTAGTGATGTTGATTGTCTTTCCATGGGCTTATTTGCCATTTATATATCTCCTTTGGCAAAATGTCTGTTTTATCCTTTGTTTGTTTTTTGTTTGTTAGAGACAAGGTCTTGCTCTGTCCATTGCCCTGGCTGGAGTGATCATGGCTCACTGTAGCCTCAAACTCCTAGGCTCAAGAAATCCTCCTGCCTCAGCCTCCCATGTAACTAGAATTACAGGTGCTACCATGCCTGGCTAATTTTTTAAAAATTATTTTTGTAGCAATAGGTCTCACTAGTTTGCCAAGGCTGGTCTCAAACTCCTGTCCTCAAGCTATCCTCCTGCTTTTTATCCATTTTTAAATTGTTTTCTTTTTTTTTTTTTTTTACTGTTGAATCTTCAGAGGTTTTCATTGTTTATATATTTAAATTCTTTGGTAGGTACATGATTTGTACATATTTTCTTCCAGCCTACAGTTAGTCTTTTAATTCTTTTAATAGTGCCTCTTGCAGATCAAAATTGGTTTATTATAATAAAATACAATTTATCAAATTATTTCTATGGCTCATGCTTTTGGTATCAGGCCTCAGAATTATTTGCCTAACTCCAGGTCATGAAGATTTTTCTCCTGTGTTTTCTTTTAACACTTTTACATGTTTTACATTTTACACTTATATCTTCTAATTATTGTTTTATTGTGGTAAAATATACATAGCCTAAAATTACCATTTTAACCACTTCAAATGTACAGTTCAGTGGCACTGAGTAAATTCACATTGTTGGCAACCATCACCACCACCCATCTCTAGAACATTTTCCATCTTCCCAGACTGACACTCAGTACCCATTAGACACCAATTCCCCTCTCCTCCCCCTCCCCCCATTCTCTCATGGTCACCATCCTACTTTCTTCCTCTATGCATTTGACTACTCCAAGGACCTTATATAGGTGGAATCATACAATCATACCTATTTGACCTTTGGTGACTGGCTTATTTCACTTAGCATAGTCTTTAAGGTCCATTTGTGTCATAGGCTGGGTCAGAATTTCCCTCTTTTCAAGGCTGGACAGTATTCCATTGTATGGATGGGCTGCTGCAGATCCAGTCATTCATCAGTGAACACTTGGCTTGTTGCTTCCACCTTGCATTTATTTTTGAAGTCCTAAAAATTTATCTTTTTACCTAATTTTGGTAGAATTTCTCTTCTCTCATCTTCCGATGGCATTTTTACTATTATAGAACCTAATCTTCTTATGTGTCTAGCAGTAAGGCATTTATATTTTTTAAGGGATCATGAATAACTGAAAACATGAAATACATATTCATTTAAAATGATTATAAATATAGATGACTAGATCATTCTGAAACAGAAAGCCAGAATTAACTGTTGCAATAAATCACAATAAGCTAAGTAAAAGTGCAGTAGCATCATTGGTTTGGCACTACTTCCGTGGCTGGCCCTAAGTGTATGCGGCTTGTCAAAAATATACTTCCCACTGGCGACCACATGAAGTTTCTGGATGCCCGCCATTCAAATTCCCATAGATTTTTTTGGGATACATGCTATTTATAAATAAAGGTATTTCTGTTCCCATAATATGTTTGAGACGTAGAATGAACATAATGACTTGTAATGTCTCTTGAAATACTAATTTCTAAATTTATGTGAAATATATACACAACAACCATGTAGCATCATAATTATTTACCTTGGACAGAATTTGGACGTATTTTGTGTATTCAAGCCACATTGATCTATACTAGTTAATACATATGCCTAAATTTTTAATTGATTGTCTGGCATTGATTATGACACTGAAAAGAATATGGTTCAATGATTTATTATTTTGTAATAGGTTAAATGTAAAAACTACAGATGATGTAACTGAAAAATCCATTTCTTATGGTTACTTTTAAATTTATATGAATTGGTTGTGCCCTAAATAAAATGTTTATCAGCAATTCATATCTGAGGTATAAAAAATCAGCAACTTTCATTTTACATTATTGTTTTACTTATTCCAAGAAATTCAAAGGGAGTGAGAGAGTAACTATGAGGACATCACATTCTAATCACTCACATTTTAATCACCCACAAATGAGGTCACACATAATGGGTCACACACAATGGAAACTGTGTTTCAAAATTGAAAGGCATATCATCTCTGCTTCAGGCTGAGCATGCTCCTGTTTAACCCAAGGAAGAACTCTTTCCTGCACAGTGAGCCAAGTACAGGGACAGGCAGAAGATCAAGAAGAGTTTGTTGTGACATTTTCCTACTTTGGTTATTTCAGTTCCTATCACCTTTCTTACCATTTAGTGATCAACGTGTATATTTACAGGAATGATGGACTGGCACAAGACTTTCCTAATAAATCTCAAGGGTTGTTTTTCTAACTCTATAAAATGAAGTTGTCTTTCTTAGATATGCTATATCTATACAGACAAACAAAATAAAACACCAGGCAGTCAGCTGCTACATACTGACCATGTAACCAGCCTACATAATTTGAAATATAACCTTCATTACAATTCCTTTTGGGGGTCCCAAATTGGATCAGATCTTCATTTCATATTTCTTTGGCTAGAGTGTAATAAGACCAGGTTTGAGAAAATGACACAGTAGACTGCAATTTCAAATTCCAAATGTCCTTATCCTAAAACACTACAGGGAAGAATTTCTCAGGACCAAAATGTCCTCTCAGTAAGAAGTTGCTTTTGGTACAAATGGAAGTTTAATAAGACAGTTGGTCACCTAGTTTGAATTTCTTATGTTGTGCTCACAGGCAGGAAACAAATGTTTGGTTTGGTTTTAGTTGGACATATCCTTAAATTTACTCCAGGAAATGGGGAAGTTGTAGCCTCCAACAGCTAACCCCATTACCTGATATACATCAGGTCCCTAATCAGATCTGAATTGAGGTGACCCTGTGCCCTGGAGGAATACTGGTAAGTAAACAGGGCAATGTAATTGAGTGGAGAAGTGCTGATGGGAAGTTCAGGGTCTTCTATCAGGGCCACTGAAGCCAAACTTTGGTGGGAGAAATAATTGGACTTTCCCAAGAAAACAACATGCAGCTGAGGCCTAAAGAATAAGTAGGAATTAGCCAGGATCAAAGAGGTTAGAAGGAAAGTTTTCCAGAAATAGAGAACTTCTAATAAGAAGACCCCAAATCAAGGTGAAGTAGGGTATGTTGAAGGAATTAAGAGGAATTAGTATAGCCAAGGAGAGCTGGGGAGGTAAACGAGGGCCAAACAGGCACTGCAATTGGAAAAGAAGATGGAAAAGATGTTCAAAGATGGGGAACATGGTGTCCTACTAGATGGCATCTAGTAGTGCAGTGATTAAAGGGCTTATAACAGCAACAAAGGTGGGAACCAAAGGAAGACAAAGCAGGTCAAGGAAGATTAGAAATACCCATGACTGCAGACCCTGCAGGCCACTAATAGTGTCCAACAAAGGCTTCTAAAGCTCTCCAACCAATTCAAAGTTGTAGATAATGGACAGGAGGGAAAAACAAAGGATTATGTAATTTGGAAATAGTTGAAGTAACTGCACATGTTGAAAGTGTACAGTCTGATACATGTTGTTGTATGTACACATCGGTGAAACCACCCTCACCATCAGGACGGTGAACTTCTCTATCACCCCCAAGAGTTTCCTCATCCTTTGTAATCCCTTCCTCTGACACAACCCTGTCTTTCCCCATCCATAGGCAACCACTGTGCTTGTTGTCAATGCAGATTACTTTGCATTTCCTGAAATTTTTATTATATAAATAGAATAATACAACCTGTACTCTTATTAGGTCTGGCTTTTTATACTCAGCCTAATTATATTGAGATACACGGTATTGAGATTATAGATTATATTAAGGTTATCCATGTTGTAACTTATCAATGGAATAGTTCATTCCTTTTTATTCATTCTTTTGGAGACATTTCACAGTTTGTTATCCGTTTACCTGTTGGTGGACGTTTGGGTCATTCCACTTTGGAACTATTAAAAATAAAACTGTTATGACTATTTACAACTTTATGAACATATGGTTTAATTTCTATTGGGTAAATACTTAGGAGTGGAATAACTGGGCCATTTGGATAGTGTATGTTTCTATTTTCCAAAGTGGTTGTACCATTGTACCTTCCCACTAGCAGTGAATCAGGGTTCCATTTCCTCCACCTCATTCTCAACACTTGATATGCTTCATGTTTTAAATTTTGGTTTTATTCTAATAGGTGTGGTTTTAATTTGCATTCTCTTAATGACTAACGATGTTGAGCCTCTTTTCATGTGCTCATTTGCCACCCTTGTATCTTCTTTTGTGAGGCATCCATTCAACTCTTTTGCCACTACTTAATTACACTTTTATTATTGAGTTTTTAGAGTGATTTCTATACTCTAGTTACATGTCCTTTATCAGATACATGAAAATATTTTCTCCCAAGGTAAAGGTTGCTGTTTCAGTCTTTTAATAGTGTCTTTCAAAGAGCAGATCTTTTCACTTTGATGAAGTCCAGTTTGTCAGTTTGTTCTTTTATGGATCATGCTTTTCTCTTCTGTTTTCTGCTAGAACTTTTATAGTTTAGTGTTTTACCTTTATATCTATTATTCATTTTGTGCAAATCAGTGGGAATCAAAGTTTATTTGCATATGAATATCAAATTATGTTAGCATTACTTGTTAAATATACTGTTTTCTCCTGACAGAATTGCCTTTGTACTTCTGTCAAAAAATCAATTGTCCATATATGTGAGGTTCTATCTATGAACTCTCTATCCTTTTGTCTTGATCTATTCTGTTTGTACCAATACCACATTATTCTGATAATTGTACATTTCTAATAAGTCTTAAAAGCAGATAGTGTTAGTTGTTCAGATTTGTCCTTTTAAAAAAACAGTTTACATATTCTAAGTCATTTGCCCTTCCACATAAACTTTAGAATCAGTTGATCAATTTCTCCAAATTAGGATTTATTCTAACTACTGTGGTTTCTTAGACAAATTTAGACTCTAGGCATTATCCTGAATAAATATTTGTTTCAATGGATGAATAATTTACCTTTGCTTGACTTGTATAGTATTTTTATGTGTTGGTGTTATTTTCTCCATTGTAAATTCTCCAATTTGTTGATCTGTAAGGCCCATTATCCTACTATATCCTTCTGGCTACATGTAGCCTGTCTGCATATTTGTATTTGGTGTGATTTTTTTTGCATGTTGTTGACATTTTAAATATATAGATCTTTAAGTGTAACTTGAAGTTTAGGCCATTGTTATTTAATTGATTCACTCCTTCAATCTAATCACAATTTAATTTAATTAGTCTCATATTAGAAGCTTTTGTTGGATTTTGACCCATGTTGTATGTTTTATAAGTAAGCATGTTTCTTTACTAAAGTGTTAGGTGTGAAATTATGGCCCATTAATCCAAGACATGAAAAGAAACACTTGGAACCTTTTATAAGGGTAATTGTTGGGAGTAATGAATCTATAAATACAGAATTGAGGGAAAACTAATAAAAATGAAAAATAAAAATGTAAAATGGCCTACATGAACATGGACCCTGACATTTAAAAAATTGTTCCACAATTAGAAAATGCCAGGGATTGATTTTCAGTAATTGTCCCTCCTTGATGTTTAATTAAAGAGTATTTTCAACTTAAAGGTCATGGTGAATTGAGTTTTCCTGGATAATGGTCAATGACAATGTGTTTGAAACAGATATTGAACTTACCAATGGCTTACAAGATTAGAGAAGAGAGGCAGGGAGACATTCTAATTCTGCTATTCAGTCCTGGGGAGAGAAAGAATACTGTTTTACATACTATCAGTTCAGAGGAGCAAATTAACCAACAACAAAGATAAAGAACGTTGAGACTAGAGACTGAATTTGTTGGACTTTATGAGAGGGCAAGCTTACATTTGGAATATTTTATTGTAGGAGCCCAGGTTGTACAGGGGCTGTGAGTAAAGAGTGCTCTTACTGAAGCAACAGCCTGCTAGAGCACAGTTGCTACATAGAGAAAGAGATGCCTTCATCTTTGTAGCTTTTCATAGGAAGCACGTAATTCACAGCAAATATTATAATGTGTGCATTCCATGATATCATTGTCTTTCCTTCTCTCCTAAAAGTTAGAGATTACAAATATCAGCTCTTCAAATTCCACATTACCAGAGGATGAGTTTCAAGAAAGGTGTCATCCCAAGTGGAGAATCACTTATAGTTTCCTTATTTCAGATACTATATTATGATCCACTCATACTTTGCTGCTAAGGGACTAACAGGCTACTTCACACGGAGCCACACAGACAGAAAGTGCAGGATCCTTGAAAAGTTTGTGTAGTTTAAATGACCCTGAGGTGCTGCCAGATCCAGGGAACACTGAGAACAGGGAAGCTACATTATGTGCAATGAATACTGGCTCTGTGCATGTGATCCAGGCAATCACCATTTCAATGAAAGAATGTAGGGCTTACATGTTCTCTTTAGTTTCTGAGTCATGCACAGTTCTACCTACAAAAAATCAGCAAATCGGGAAGTTGGATGCTTAGTACTGAGGCTGACTGAGCATGCAAATATCATTTTTTACAATAAAATCACAAAGTAGTAGTGCATTTGTGTGAATAGCATGAATTAGCTAAATTTAACATACATATTCCTATCTATGGTGCTTCTGAAATAATCTTAACAATAAATAAAACTTTGTAAGAGGGTAGAATTAGATACTTGAAATGCACTGATTGGGTTATATATGTCTAGATCTACATCTAGACTCACATGTATGCCTGCATGATACTGTGCAAGCTGTTACAGAAATAGAAAGACCAACGTTAGCCTCCAAGTTGACCACTAAATATATGTTATTACCAATAGCCTTGAAACTTTGCAGAAGAATTTAGGAATATCCTTAGATTTAGATACGTTCCTCAACTGGACATCTGGCATGTTGAAAACCTGAGGGCATGAAGTGAATGGTCTAGTCTACTTTTACACTGTAGTGGGGCATTTAAGTAAATTACATGGTACAAAACAGAGTTCTTCCCTTTATTTGTTCAGCAGATTTTAGTTCAGCAGAGTTTAGAAACTTCCAAATATCCCGTCCAAATATTTTAAGTCATAAAAATAGGGTGTCAACCCTGAAAGGACATTTATTCAGGATCAAGGCCTTGAAGAATGGGGTCTCTTAACTATGGGAAAAAAATGGTTTTCCAAAATTCTATAATGCTTACCATTTCCAAGCCCTTTTTATCTACTGATTGTCATCTGACTCTCTGCTAGCTATTTAATATCTTCTCTTTCATGCTGTATCCTGGACTGGGTCTTGTGTCCTATAGCTTCATCGCTCTTCTAAGGAGAGATGTATGTAATGCTTTGGAATAATGAGAGACGTATGTAATGCTTGGATGTTCTATGCAGATATGAGAATGCATGGCCTGTTTTTAAACACTTCTTCAGCCTCTGTCCGCCACCCAGTCCACTATGTAATCAGAAAAGTATTTCTCATCGTCTATTTGCTTAAAATTGATCACGCTATGATCTAAGCTCACTCTTCCTATTTTCTATTTTATGGAATTGAAAAACACCTCCTCACTCTTTTCTCTGTAAATGTCCTGTGCTCTCATGATTGACTGTACCGTTTCCAACTTTCTCTTCCAGGGTTTTGTCCCCATTAATCCTCACCCTGTCTCTCATCTTTCCCTCTAGCAGCCGCTTCTATGGAAAGATCTCAGACTTACAGGAAAAGACTTCTGCTCTACAAAGATGTCCTTGCCTTCTCAGTTGTCTTTAGGTTCCTTTCAAAATGGTTCAGACTCTTCATTTTGTGGAGTTAAGGCTCAAAATGCAACACTTTTGAGTGAGGTTACCAGGTAAACTTGCATTCACTTTGCTGGTGTAAATAACTGAGATCAGGCCTTTGCTGAGAACACATGTGGATTTGGGAAGACACTGAGTGCCCAATAGGGTGGTTACTAGTACACCAAGAAGTGGGCAAAGAGCAACAAAAGTGTTAGGAGCGGAAGAACCCCATTTACCCCTGGACTGGACATTATTAGATCAAAACTGCTTTCTCTGTCATTTGTTCATCATTATAGAGGAACCTCTCTCATTTCAGGTAGTTGAAAACAATTTTCTTGGCTCCCGGTATATTCTACCTCCATGGTTCTTCCTTTGAGCTTTTCCATTCCTTTTGTAGCCAGTTGGGGGCAGTGCTAATCTTCTCAATTCTATTGCCCTTAACCAAGGCAGGATATAATCAGTCATTAGGCAAAACCGTGTCCTAGTCCACAGTCCTGGGGCTGGTAGGGATGTCAGAGGCCACCTGGGTTGACCTGGGAGCCTGTAGCCTGTGACTACACAGGGATTGGCAGGCTTCAATGTAGATTGGAATTGCCTGGGGAGGTTTTTAAGAAATGCCGATGCCTGGGTCCCACCGAGGACAATTAATGATGAGGTCTGGGCATCTGAGTTTAGTGAATGCCCACCAGGAGATTCTGATCCCGCAGTGAGTGTCAAGCCACAGTTCGGGACTTCTAAGTACTGGGAGCCCCCACTTCACAAAGCTGCCAATTCTGTTTTCTACACAGCACAACTCAGCTGAGAATTCTTCCTTAGTTTGCATTGAAATCTGTAACTGTCATCCTCATGTTAGCAAACAGGGAGTCTGTCACCCATACGGTCCAGGTGAAAAAGTGGGAACTTTAACCACTGATTCCAAGAAGATTCACTATTTGAGAATCCAAAAAGGGATTTGGACAGTTAGATAGATGTGCATCCAGTTCTTAGTCAAAACCGAGTATTGGGATGTAATGGACATGATGTGATTGTCTGGAATTTCTTATTTAAGGAAAGGTGGGAAATTCCATCCTTTTCTACAGTTAAAAATTAAAAAAAAAATCCATAGTGACCTTTGCCCAAATAAAGAGGGGTAGGGTTATTTCATAGCAGTTATAAATTGCACACTGTGTGCCTAATTGCTTAAAAAAAAACCCCAAAGGGTATTTACGTTATGTATATTGTACCACAATTCAAAATTTAAAAGGACAACATTATGTGAAGTGCATCTGATTGGTATTTTACTGTTTTGATTTTTTTCTAGTCAGACTCAGTATACAGTTGATCCACTATGATGGGTTACATCATAGTCCATGGTCAAAATCTTTTTTTCTTATTATTATTACTATTAACAATCTCTAATTCAGTGCTGTAAACTATGGATGGAAGAAATAATCTGGTAAATGAAGGATATCAAAAGTTCTCTGTAACCTTTGTTGTGTTGTTGTTAAATGCAAAGGGGCTTTCGTGTGTCAAGCAGCAACGTGCTGATGCAGGTCTGATTCTAAGTGCTGTGTTTTAGAGAATGCTTGAGGTAACACCATTCAGAGTTTTCTTTTCTTTTTCCTTTCTGTCTTTTGAGGATGTCCTTCACTGAAGTACAAGGACATTTACAAGGATTTCTAGGCTTCTCCATCACTGCTTAGTGCCTGTGGCCAATCTATCTGTGATATACGGTAAATATTTTCCCTTGCAGGAAAAGGGCTTAGAGCTATTTCTCTGCATTGATTGAGCACATTAGACTAATATTTATCCATTTGAAACTTTGGGAATTGGCCATACATCATTTAGTAGCTGTGCACCCATTATGAAAAGTAATTGTATATTAGTATTTCCAAAAATTTACATCTGGGGTAGAAAACCTGTCAATCACAAATGTTTTCGTGATGATTACATTGGGGAAAATTAGAATTGCTCATGATAATGTGGTTGTTAATTTTAAAAGACATGTGACTTTTCCAATATTAGAAAGAAATGAGAGGGTTTCTAATACTTTATTTCAGGATCATTTTGAACCCCAGAGCTATGGCCTCCACAACTCCTATTGCTGGTCATAATTGTATGTATTGTTCAGCAGAGACACATAATTTTGGGTATCTCTTTCCTGAGAATTGAATATAAAAAAAGTGCCCAAACTTGCCAACTTTCATTCCTTGGTCCACCTGTAGTCAACCATCACCTGGCTGGGTGACTAAGTCACATACATTTTCCCCATGAAGGAAATCTGATAAGATAAAACACCCATACTCCTGTAAAGAATGGAGGGAAAAAAATACACCATGATTTATTTTTAGATAAATTAAAAGACAGAAAAAATCTATCTTTCGAACAAAGAGATCTATGTTGGTATTGCCCTGTGTGCCATTTAAAATGACATTATATTGGTTTTCAGAAATATTTAGGGCTAGTTTTTCTTCTATGTTTTATAAGCTTTTTAAATTATCTCCTTTTTATGTTTATGTGTTTTTTTAATTCTAAAGACATCTATTTTTATGATCAGAAAAATATTTTTATAATCAGAAATATATTGTGTTTAAAATCAAGAACCCAAAATTACCAGGATTGCTAAATTTTATTTAAAAATATGTGGTAATATCCATCCACTTTTTTCTTTTTTTTTTTTTTTTTTGAGACAGAGTCTCACTCTGTTGCCCAGGTTAGAGTGCAGTGGTATGATCTCTGCTCACTGCAACCTCAGCCTCTCAGGTTCAAGCAATCCTCATGCCTCAGCCTCCCAAGTAGCTGGGATTACAGGTGTGCGCTACCATGCCAGCTAATTTTTGTGGGGGGGTTGGTTTTGTTTGTTCGTTTGTTTGTTTGTTTTGTTTGTTTTTATAGCAGACACACTTTCAACATGTTGGCCAGGCTGGTCTCAAATTCTCGACCTCAAATGATCCGCCCCCCTCAGCCTCCCAGTGCTGGGATTGCAGGCGTAAGCCACTGTGCCCAGCCCACCCACTTTTCCTATAGTAGCTTCTTATCTTTTTCTAATCCTATAGTCATTAAGATGAAAGCTTTTACTTCTAAAACTGTATTTACAGTTTCCCATCACAAAGATCCCCACGAAGAGCAGAATGGCAAGCTCACAAAAAAAGACTTTAAATTACTGCCTACTTGTTGTCTTTGAAATCATTCAAGTTTTCGAGGTAAAGAGAAGAACATGTGCTTATTTTATCAACCAAAAGCAATGACGTGCTCAGTGGTCATTAGAATGGGAATTATACTCTGGGGGTTTAATTTTACTTTTTTGAGTGTTTCTTTAAAAACTTAGTAAGAAGGAGTTGGGTTTTTACTATTTTTTTTCCTCTTGGTATATAATTTTAAAACTAAAGTTATTCTGGTTATTATTTCCCTTAGAGCACATATTTCCATCTTAAAGTAGCGCTCCCACAACTTGAGCATTCAGAGTAGAGGCAAATTTGGCGTCAGTGTTTGCCATGCAAAACCCACACCGATATTCAAGTTTCGCCTGCATCTTTATTTCCATTTTCCCTTATAGAGTGTAATCTGTTGACATGGAGAGAGAGGCAAAACATAAGCAGTTGGAGAGAGATAAAAATTGAGCACAAATTCAGGATAGTCCACAAATCGGCAAACTCAGAAAACATTGTATTCAAAGTGTGTGATGACAGTGTCATCACAGTTTCTGTCTTTGCTGTTTGCCCACTCGCTAAGTCTTATTTGTAACCCCAAAATCAGTATTCCAGACGCCTTTAAGATCTTCATCGACATTTGCAGAGCAACAAAGTTTGACTCACCCAACACTCTTGCTGTCTGCTGTGGATGAAAGAGCAATGCTCTGCCTTCTTGTTTCAGCTCTCATGCTATGAACAAGGATGTCCTTTTCATGGCCTATTTAGTACCGTGGTTTTTACATTTTTGTGCTTTTTGTTGGTGATCTTACTGTTTAAAATGCCCCCCAAGCATAGTGCTGTCTAGTATTCCTAAGTGCAAGAAGGCTATGATGTGCCTTGTGGAGAAAATACATGTGTTAGAGAAGCCTTTTTCAGCATGAGCAGATAACCTAGACAGGCTCCAGATAATCTCTATTCAAAAACAGAGATGCAGAAAGTCCTATTCCCCATGTTAAGTAGATTCTCCTTCCTAGATATTTGTTAGGCTTTCAGCCCCAGCACTTCTTGATCCCCAATTTTAGAAAAAGTCTTGGAAAGCAGAACTTATGGGTTAGAGATATAGTAAAAGTAGAACTGAACCTGCCATGAAGCCTGGCAAACCCGGGTGAGAGCTGCCTGCAGGGGCCTTGCTTCGGAAGAAAAGATTAGACCCAAGAGGCTGTTTTTCCAGGCACTGAACTCAGGAAGTGAGAGGTTAGGGTTGAAGCCTACAAAAGATCCAACTGGTAGACTGCAGTATGTGGAAGAGATGGAGGTTTCTAAAGCAGTATGTTAAGGCTCTCTGGAGAAACAGAACCAATAGGAAAGATAGATGGATTGAGGAATAGGTGGATAGATGGATAGATAGGAATAGGATAGGGGTGGGTGGATGGATGGATGGATGGATGGATGGATGGATGGAAAGGAAAGGAGGACGGATGGATGGACGGATGGTTGGATGGATGGATGGATGGATGGATGGATGGATGGATGGATGGATGGATTGTTCAATCGATCGATACACAGATAGATAGATTAATAGAAATTTATTATGAGAAATTGGTTCTTGCGTTTATGGAGGCTGAAAAGTCCCACAATCTGCCATCTGCAAGCTGGAGTCATACGAAAGCTGCTGATGCCGTTTGAAGGCCTGGGAGCTGGAGAGCCAATGGTGTGCATTCCAGTCAGAGTCTGAGGCCTAAGAACTAGGAGTGCTGAGGGCAGGAGAGGATTGATGTCCCAGCTCAAGAGGTCAGGCGGAGGGAAAATTCAGAGTTCCTCTGCCTTTTTGTTCTGTTCGGGTCCTTAGTGATGGGATGCTGCCCATCCATTCTGGGGAGGCCATCTGCTTTTCTCAACTCAAATGCTAATCCAGAAACACCCTCACGGACACAACCAGAAATAATGTTTAGCCAGATATCTGGGCATCCCATGATTTTGTCAAGTGGATGTATAAAATTAACCATCACAGGAAGTTAACAGTGAGTCAGGTTAGAAGGCTCTTTAAGTCCAAGCCATTCCAGCATCTTCCAGATTCTTCCTCTTGTAAGGACTCTGGGATGTGTCCATAATGGAGCTCAGCCTGCTGACATTAGAGGAAAGTTCCAATTCAAACTCTGTGTCTGTGGGATTGTAAATCCCTGCTGTCCTTTACACACCAAACTCTCAATGGCCAGAGTGTAAGGAGGGTGCGCAGCAGTGCCTTCCATTGCCAGGACAGCCCTGACTGAATGGAAAGGCAAAGACAAGACAGTAAAAAGTCTGGTAGAGAGAGTGGGGGACTCACACCAAGGCACAGAGTGGTGTCTCCCTATAATGACCTCATGTTTTAGGATCCACCTTACAGTGTAATCACTGGTGGCATGGGGAAGTTAGAGCATGGAATTTCCATCTTCAGCTGCAAAATTTATTTTTCTTAATCATTTAATTCTAAATTAAATTTTAAAATTCTGGCCAGCTGCGGTGTGTCATGTCTGTAATCCCAGCACTTTGGGAGGCCGAGGCGGGCGTGTATCCCTTGAGGTCAGGAGCTCGAGACCAGCCTGGCCAACATGGTGAAATCCCATCTCTACTAAAAATACAAAATTAGCCAGGTGTGGTGGCACCTGTATGTAATCCCAGCTACTTGGGCAGTTGAGGTAGGAGAATCACTTGAACCTGGGAGGCAGAGGTTGCAGTGAGCCAAGATCGCGCCACTGTACTCCAGCCTGGGCAAAAACAGCAAAACTCTTGTCTCAAAAAAAAAAATTTTTCTTTATAGAATGACTTTCACATTTTAAAGAACCCTCGGATAAATGATTAAGCTGGGCGTGAAAACTGTTTATGTCTAAAGAGGACATCTAGCATGGAAACCCCTAGAAATGCATTGGCCAGGGACACTCAGGGCATGCTGGCATGGGAAGCAAGATGCGCCCACTGTTCCCAATGACCCAGCGATTTCTTGGCATGGAAAATAATCACTTTTATTTTAAAAGGTTTTGACAGTCCCTACAGGGTGCTGAACAGTCTAGAAATTCATAAATTTGACCTTTTCCTTCAGAATGATTATATAACTAAAATGGCTAAGCTAAGGCAAAATTGTGTGTGTTAAGGTTAATCATTAGAAAATAAAAGTGTTAGCAATAGAACGAGGTGGCATATGGAATATGACAGAAGCTGTTGATTAAACCTGATATGAAAACAATAACTTTTAGGCCAGCCTTGAGGGAACCGGGATCTGGGTTCACTTTGTGTGTGTGTGTGTGTGTGTGTGTGTGTGTGTGTGTGTGTGTGTGTGTACAATTTAATTCTCTCTTTGATGCAAGCAAACAACAAGGCAAAACTTGAACACACAGTGAATGTACTTTAGGGATTGCCAGGAGACTATGAATTAAATAGAAGAAATCAGGGAGTGCTATATTAAATTTCTCTTTGACTGAGAACAGATTATCTTCATAGGCTTTGCACTCAAAGAAATAAAGTTGGAAGGCAATAAGCTTCCAGTTTCCCTTGGTGATCTCAGTCAGCTCTGCAGACTAACCTCTGAATGAATTGGCAATCATTTCTCGGAAGCAGAGGTTGAAATTTCTGTGTTTCCTTCCATGTCCACGTCAAGGACAATATTGAGCCTTGGGCCACACAAGGGCAGCTGTTGTCTGTTGGGATGCCCTTGCTTCAGAACAAGGTGCACCAGACAAAGAGACCCACAGCCCACCTCAGCCCATGGACCTTCACTGAGTGGTGAACAAGAGCAAAAAGGTGGGCTTGTCATTCCCTTCTTTATTGCCTGTTTCACTAACACAAATGTAAATTCCTTGAGTGTAGGTGTGTCTGACTAGTTGCTGTTGTATTTGCGCCGCTATACTAGTACCTGGCCATCACAGGCATTCCACAAAGACTCACTAGAAGAAAAGTCCCATGGAAACAAGAGCAATCATGTTTTTAGTAGCAGCAAATTTGAAGTTCATAAAGGAATGAAATTTATGTTTTAAAAATGCAATAGTCTTTTTATGTAAAAGTCTTGATAAGCCTAGAGTTTAGGACAGCTTTTTAATGGAACCCGTTGCTAGGAATGTCCAAACATGAGAGCATAGGCTCTTCCCCATGTTTTGGGAGCCCAGAATACTCCCTTTGGTCCTGTTGCATGCTATCCACAGGGAAAGGAGAAAGTCACTATGCTGCCACTTCTTCCGGAACAGCCAAAAGGACGACTTTCCCATGATGGTCCTGGCACTGGGGGTGAAAATGACCTAGCCATTCACTAAGTCCCCACTGATGGTATTTATTCATCATTTGCAGTTGGTTTGTGTCTCCTTCACTTAAGATCCAGTCTAATTCACGGAAAAGCAATGCAGCTTAAATAAGAAGATGAGTTGGAAGTGACAAGAAGGCTGGTTTGGGAGCAGAGTGTTGAATTGCAGGGTTGAGAATTGCGGGGGAGGTTGAAAGACTGACGAGGGAAGGAAATAAAATTCATTCTGTGTGGATTGGAGATATGGAATGAAAAGAAAAAAACAAAACTAAAGAGGTAGCAGGGAACCTAAGGAAAGTATGTTGGGAAACAATTTCTTATTACAATTTTACCTTTAACATTCTTCAAATTAAGTAAGTAATTAAAGCAGAGTGTACTGCAGCTGTGTCAAGGTTTCCATTTGAAAGGACAGACACAACAGGATATGACTCTAAAGACAGGAAAACATGTTTAATATATTTTTAATAGATATATCTTGGCCCGGCGCGGTGGCTCAAACCTGTAATCCCAGCACTTTGAGAGGCTGAGGCAGGCGGATCATCAGGTCTAGCAGTTCGAGACCAGCCTGGCCAATATGGTGACACCCCGTCTCTATTAAAAATACAAAAATTAGCCGGGCGTGGTGGTTCGCGCCTGCAGTCCCAGCTACTCAGGAAGCTGAGGCAGAAAAATTGCTTGAACCCAGGAGGCAGAGGTTGCAGTGAGCCGAGATGGTGCCACTGCACTCCAGCCTGGGTGACAGAGACTCTATCTCAAAACATACATTTTTTTTTAATTTAAAAAAAAAGATATATCTTATTTTGTTAATGTTGTATTCTTTTTTTTTTTTTTTTTTTTTTTTTTTGAGATGGAGTCTCTCTCTGTCTCCCAGGCTGGAATGCAGTGGTGCGATCTCGGCTCACTGCAACCTCCACCTCCCTGGTTCAAGCAATTCCCCTGTCTCAGCCTCCCGAGTAGCTGGGATTACAGGCACATGCCACCAAGCCTGGCCAATTTTTTTGTATTTTTAGTAGAGACAGAGTTTCACCATGTTGGCCAGACTAGTCTCGAACTCCTGACCTCAGGCAGTCTGCCCGCCTTGGCCTCCCAAAGTGCTGGGATTACAGGCATGAGCCACCGTGACTGGCCAGTGTTGTATTCTTTAAAAAAGAGGATTGTCCATTCCATTTCTACTACCCAAACATGACTTCTTGATTCTATTCCATTCAATGGAACACTTTTTCATTCTCTATAAAGTGCACAGCAAGGAAGAAGCTATAAGAAACCTTCTCTGTCTTCAGTGAGTTTACTTTGTCCTGGAGGAAACTAGCCAGTAACAAACAACTCCAGCTCCAAGGTCAGGCGTGGTTCCTGGTACTGTAGGGATGTGTGCAGTGTGGGGCCATGGAGGCACGCCCTTGTGGGGAATGGAGAAAGTTTCCTAAGGAGATGGCTGTGGTTTGCTTTGAATAGGGAGTCTGGGCTAAGTGTGTTTGAAGTCAAAGGAACAAAACTAGCAAAGATACGAAGGCAGACATTCCAGGGTCCTCTCGGAGAATATAATTCCTAACTCACTGGAGCCCTGTGTATGGATAGGAAGTAGTTTGAAAGAAGCTGGAAAATCTTGGCAACAGACTCTGGGGATGTTTAATTCAAATCTAAGGAGTATGAAATTTATTCCGTAGATCATGGTAAGCCACTGGGTAGATTGGACCCATAATAACAAAACTTAATAATATTTTTTCTGTGATTTATGGTTTTTAATATTTACTAAGTGTCAACAAAGTGTGAAGATTTATAAGAGCATTATAGTGTGTATGTAATTTTTACGCAAAGGGTTTATTGGTTGATCTATGTAGATAAGTAGGATGTAAACATATGGGAAGAATGAGGGGAAAGTCAGATGTTCTGTATCATGCCACCCACACCATTTACCCTAGCCATTGACATCACCTGGAGAGCTATGAAAGTATTGCTGAAATCCCACCAAGTGCTCTAGGCATCCACTTATAAAAATGGAGAACCATGGCTGAAAGGTGGCATTGATAATTAAATGCTAATGACCTGAACTCAGGAACTTCAAAGCTGATCTCAAACTTCTTATGCTCTCAAATTTACTATTTTCTACAAAATCATGACCAGTCAACAATTTACCCACTCTTTTTTTTTTTTTTTTTTGCTGTTTTCTACTTTTTACTTTTTATGAGTGTGCAGTATTTTTGTCATTAAATTTAAAAACATTGTAAAATAATGCTTATATTTACATAAGTCACTAGAAGCAAAACCCATCGGTGATTTGGAAACATATGATGAGCCACAGGCCTGGGACCGGGGTGAGGTTGCTGAGGCATTGGCCTGGAGTACAAAATTTAAGGGGGTATCAGAAACCTCAGTGATGAAGAGAAGTAATATATGTATTTTAAGACCTTAATTTGTTACAGCAGTTTTGGGTTCACAGCAAAGTTGAGAGGAAGGTACAGAGATACCCCATATACCCTTTGCCCTCATATCCATCATACATGTGTAGTCTTTCCCATTATTAGAGTCCCTCGCCAGTGGTATACATCAGGGGTCCCCAGCCCCTGAGCCTCAGGCTCGTACTTGGCTGTGACCTGTTAGGAACCGGGCTGCACAATTACTGCCTGAGCTCCAAACACTCTTTTAAATCAATATTTAATCGTTAGGTTTTTGCACTATATAGAAAGAGAGAAACCATACTAGGGCCCCTCATATGTGTAAATTTGAGCATGATAATCACATACTCATGACCTGTTAGATGTCTGAAAAGGGCTTAGCCAGTGGGTCATTACTAATAAGAAAACACTATCTATCAAGTTTTCAAGCTGGGGTTGAAAATAACGTTTCTTAGTTGTTCAGCAGGAGCAGTGCATCCTGTTGGATCTGATTCTGGAGAAATCATGCGATGGGTCTCAAGTTTCTTGCAAGGCACTAGGGTCATCTGGTACATGTGAGCAGAACGTTTGTGGCCGATGAGAATTTGCACAATCCTTTCTATGCAGATCATTCCAGACAGGGAGGAGGGCAGACTAACAGATGAAGTAGAAAAAACTGCCGAGCAAGAGTACTGGCAAACCTGTCAAAATTTAAAGCCTTAAAAGAATTAAAAAATTTAAAAAATGAATATTTTTACATTAGAACATAGAATAGAAATATTCTGTAGAAGTATTCGATGTTCTAATAGGAAAAAAAAGAGTTTTTCAGTTGTTTCCAATAGTCAATGATATCATGTTAACCACCAGTCTTGAGGACAAACTGATTTCAAGTTCCAAAGCTTTCTGATCCCTCATCTAGGAATTTTAACACAACTGCTGATGAAATAGATGGAGATGTGGTGTAAGAGATGCATGGCCTCTCCTGTTCTGAAAAGAAATTCACTTCTCAGTTGTTTAATGATGCTTTGAAATCTGTAAAATGCTGCACAGGAATGTTTTTTTTTTTTTCCTTTTAAAAAAGCACTTTCTATGACCTAAAATATAGACTTTAGTGAAATAATTGTTGTTTTATCATTGTAACTCTTATTTGTTAAATTATCTCATTTTAAAATATGCTTTAAAACTATAGATATTTACATGTGTCTTTAGAATGGTCATTATTTCCAGGTCATTTCTCTATACATTTTCTAAATAGTGGACATTTTTTCCCTCTAATAGGTGATAACAGATTTTATTGGTGTTGGAATAATTAGATATTATACAAAGCTTTAGATATAACGTGAATATACTTAATTTTTCTTCACTTCTATCATGTGACATAAATTTCTTAGTCAATTGGGGAGAAAGGCTGAATAGTGGGCAGTGATTGATAGGAGCCAATACATGGATTTTCCTCTTATTAAATATTTTTTTGAGATTGGGCACGGTGGGTAACTCACACGTGTAATCCCAGCACTTTGAGAGGCCAAGGTGGGAGGATTGCTTGAGACCAGCCTGGGCAACATGGTAAGACCCTCATCTCTACAAAAAAAAGTTGTAATAATAAATAAATTTTTTTAACAGCCTTAAAATGAAAATTTTTTTTAAATAAATTTTTTTGAAAAATGTTTTCTCCAAGCAGACATGATTTGTAAACAATCTTAGACCACTTTCAAGAATAACTGTCCAACATCTTTCATCTGACATCTTATTTCTTTAAAATGAGAAACATTTTAATTATTTTGAATATATCTTTTTAAAATACTTAGAATATATTCACATCTTTACATTTAAATGTGGGTGTTTCCATGCTAAGATTAAAATCCACCTTCTCCCTTTTACCCTTTGTTTTATGCAGATAATTCAGGGATATGAAATTTAAGTGAAGAATTTGTGTCACCTTTGTCAGTTTTTAAATTTCAGAGCCCTATATTCTCTCATTTAAATCATGGCAGCTGTCTTCTCGCTGGTGTTTTTGCTGTGGCTCTTTGTCCACATCAATCCTTCTGTGCCACTGCTATCCCTGTCTTATAATGCCCGTCTCACCACACCCCAACAGCCTGCCTACAGCTATCAATATGGCCATGGTCACAGCAGTAAGCCTTCTTCAATTTCAGGAGTCCTTAGAGTATGTTTTCCATGTACCCAAGGACAGATTCACTCCAGTTCGCCCCACACCACCCTGCCAAGCAGCACAGGTGCTCCTGTCAGGTCTGACTTACAAGCGTTCAGGTGCTGCCCTGTCAAGCGCTATGGGTGCAGGTGATGTCAGAGCTGCTGGAGCCACCTGGAGCTCTGAGCTGAGGGGAGAGGAAAGGGATTGAGAGAAAGAGGCAATGGTCTTCCCCTTTGTTCGTCTTCTGTTAAAGGAGTCCCAGAGATGCCTAGCTCTTGCCACTTGTTTTACAATTAGAATGGAAATTGCTTCTCAGACTTTTGGCTAAGATCGAGTGCAGATTAGAATGAAATGATTCTTCCCCATTTTGACACTCCAGTCCTCTTTTCCCAGGACCCAGACGCGTCTGGGAAACTGGAACAAGAGAGACTGAGTTGCAATCAGTGGGCTGCTGTCAGCATCCCGACCCTTCTCTGCAGGTGAAAGCTTTATTGCTGAGTCAACACCAGGGAAGCCGTCCTTCTTCCTTCCCTTCTGCCTCCTCATAGGCCCAAAGGACCTGCTCTACTACGATGTCAGATTTCACTCAGCTTGGGCCCTTGCCAGATGAGTAAAGGGCACGTAGGTCGTGCCATGCATGCTCCTCCCTAAAAACTGCTGCTGCTCCTTGTTGCTTTTAGGATAAAAGAAAAATGTGAGGAGCCCTCACCACCGCCAGGCAGAAAACACCTGTATCTTACAGTTGTCCTTTCCGTGAGCTGCCCAGCAGCCTTGCCGGGAGACAGTGCAGTCTCCATTGGGCCACCGAGGTAACTGAGGCTCAAAGCAGCTCAGGGCTTTGCTGGGGGATTGGGGTGCATCCAGGCATCTGCTCACCCTCTACTGTGTGGTGCAGGGATGGTTCTTCATGCTGTGGCCATGTTCTGCTCCTCTCGCCTGGCTTCCCACCAGGCCTCGCGTCTTGCAGAGCGGCCCTCTGCTCCCTCCCATGTTGCCAAGTGTTTCCGAATGAAAGGCTGAGAAACCACAGAAGACAAAAGAGAAGCTGTTTGTTTCACCTCCAGGGCCCTTCTCCTGAACGCAGTGCCTGAGAATGCCCCCCATCTTTCTCCACCCAACCCCCTTGCACTCTACCCTCAAGAGCCTGCTCCCCGCAGCCCCTCCACAGGAGGCCTTTCCCCAGCTCCGATCTCACTCCTGCCTCTGCCCAGGGTAGTCTTGTTCCTCAGTCCTCACAATGCACCCTAACCATTTCTGTACATGTTTTGGTGAGTTCAAAATTTAAACCACAAACTTAAATGTGCAAGAAATGCCATACTTCTTTAGTTTCTTAAAATCAAATTAAATCTGACTCTTGGCTGACCAGCAAATTCCATCTCAGCATTCCCGGCTCTCTTTTCCTCCCCGGCATCACCCAAGCCTCAGGGAGGCCTCTATGGAATCCGAAAAATCTCTGGATGTTGCCCTTTTCCACACCTGTGTGTTCCCAAGTGGTTGCTCCACTGCTGCCATGCCCAGTGGAGCTGCCTCGTGGGGCCCATTGGGCAGCCCTCCCTGTGGACACCTGGCCACCTCCCATGGGGGCTTCCAGGGAGCTGAGCCCAGTGCGTGCAGAGCGCTGGTCCTTTCTTCCTCTTTTGGTATCTGCCGTCTTTACCCTGTCCTCTCTCTTCTCCTCACAGCCACTCGTCCCTGACTCTCTCTTTCCTCTCAGGAGTCCAGGAGACTTGGGGAACTGCGGCTTTCACAGAACCCAGGAGGCGGTCCCTGGTCTATCTGCAGGAGCCCTTTGCTCTTGGCATTGCAGACGTCCTCTGCACAGGTACAAAGGGCTCTATGCCCTTTGGCATGAAGAACGAGAACTTCAGGTGAACACAGTGTGACTTAGTACATTATCTGGCCACACATATCTGCCTACCCCTTGGGACTGTGAGCTCCAAAGGGCAGCGGCAGGTCCTGACCACAGCTGTGTCATCGGCCATGCACTGTCTGACACAGGGTCCTCCAGTGAGTGTGTGGCCAGCAAAAGCTCCAGCGCCACTTGAGCTGCCCATCAGAACCAGGAGCGAAGCCACCTGGCGTCAAAGCACAGTGTGGATAATGGCTCCCTGCAAGTCTCATTTTCAAATAAATACAGAAATGAGCATTGTAGGAAATCAGATGCTATTTTAAATTTATTGTTACTTGTAACCATTGAAATGAAGTATTTCTGGATCAATACTTCCAAAGACAATCAGGAGAAAAAAAAAAAAGATTTACTTGGACTCTTTAAAAAGAGTTGCAATTGGAAAAAGGTAAAAATGATAACTTAAGTTATTTTTCCTGATCAAGTATTTTCTAGAGATCATGAGAAGAAATTCCAAATAATATTTAGTTGCTGACAAAAATACGTCTTTTGCATTTTGGCCACAAAAGCATACCCATCTTTAAAAACCTATTAACAAGGCTGGGTGCAGTCGCTTAGGCCTGTAATCCCAGCACTTTGGGAGGCACAGGTGGGCAGGTCAGTTGAGGTCAGGAGTTCAAGATCAGCCTGGCCAACATGGCAAAAACCCTGTCTCTACTCAAAATACAAAAATTCACTGGGCGTGGTGGCAGGTGCCTGTAATTCCAGCTACTGGGGAGGCTGAGGCAGGAGAATCACTTGAGCCCAGGCGGTAGAGGTTACAGTGAGCAGAGACTGTGCCACTGCACTCTAGCCTGGGCAACAGAGCAAGACTCTGTCTCAAAAAATAAAAAATTTAAAAAATTTTAAAAACTCAAAAACCTATTACCAGACATGAATCACATTGCTTTTCAATTCTGCCCTTTTTCCACTTTGTGACTTTTTGCAGTTGTATTAAAGTCTTTGATTTAGTTTTATACATTTCCACAAGTAAGCTGCTTAGTACCTTTCCATGTTGTTTTAGGAAAAGAAAAAAAAAAAAAAATATATATATATATATATATATATATATATATATATATATATATATATATGTATTTCAGGATGTTTTCAGAGCCCAAGCATTGTTGGCCAGACACCTGCAGTGGCAAACAGAGACAGGCTTGTTTCTGCCCCCTGAGATGAAGTAAGTCTTCTCAAAAGGTGGCTCTCCTTTGCACTCTAATCTAATGACAACTAAGATTTTAAATTAGCACATGCCATTTTAATACTGACTGTAACATTCAGCAGCATGCTCATTGCATTAATCAAAATGTTACCTTATTCCATCCGTGAAGGGCACCCCTCATTTAGGCCACTACTCAAATGGACGCTCGAGGACGGCCTCAGAACTCGGCCATTCACAGGATGTCACCACCACACGCTGCCCCGTACTGCAAGGATTCACAATTGCTTTGGATAATAGTCCATATGGAGATATTTATTTGTTTATTAAGGCGTGTTAACCTAGCTAGCAATTGGAAAATAGAATTGTTCTGCAGATTTATGTCCTGTAGGTTACCGAGTCAGCCTAATTCATCACAAATACCAAGTGCTCTAATTAAGGAGAAAGGGGGAAATGTTCCTTCACATCCTTTATGATGTGTTGTGCATTTCCATCTCTTGATCGAAAAGTTTATTTAGAATAGCACAATGAATCCTAGTGTCTTTGCCCAGCAACAAGGCCAATTGTACTGGAATTGTCCCACTTAAAAATGGCTGGCTCTGGCCAGGGCACGGTGGCTCATGCCTGTAATCCCAGCACTTTGGGACGCTGAGGCGGGCAGATCATGAGGTCAGGAGATCGAGACCATCCTGGCTAACACGGTGAAACCCCGTCTCTACTAAAAATAAAAAAAAGGTAGCCAGGCTGGTGGCAGGCGCCTGTAGTCCCAGCTCCTGGGGGGGCTGAGGCAGGAGAATGGTGTTAACCCAGGAGGCGGAGCTTGCAGTGAGCTGAGATCGTGCCACTGCACTCCAGCCTGGGTGACAGAGTGAGACTCCATCTCAAAAAAAAAAAAAAAAAAAAAAAAAAAAAAAGCTGGCTCTGAACTGAAAACATTTTTTCTTTAAATCCTGTTTCTTAAAAAAAAAAAAGGGGGGGGGGTGGTTCTATTATAAACCAAAGGTACCTATTATTAAAACTTGCTTCCCCATTTTCCAGTACTTTTGTACTGTCTAGAGATGTCTAGGTTGGTGTTTAAAAAAAAAAAAAAAAAAAAAAAGACTTGAAACTCCAGCTTGCCAAGAAAGAGCCCAAGCGGGAAGTACCTTCCGAGGCTGTGGTGGAGGGAGGGAGGCCTAACTAGGACATTCCCAGTCCTTGTTGCCAGAGTGTGGGGTTCCTCCCGAGTGTGGCTCAGGGGTCAGAGGCGCGCTGTCCCAGGTGTTTCCAGCCTAGCTCAGTGGCCTGAAGCAGACCCTCCCAGGATTTCTTCCAGGCCAGTCTTGCAGGCGTCTTTAGCAGCCCCAGGATACAGCCTCCCTGGAATGTACTGGCTTTGAAAGATAAAACACTGTATCTCTGCAGTATTAGTCCTATAGGCACCGAAGCTGCAGTAGCTACTCAGAATCACATCTGCCAGGCCCAAACCCATCACTTGGCGATGCTCCTGAAATCTCTGTCCTCTATTCAAGCTAGAAGTTGAGTGAAGGGTGACTGCTCATGATGTGCCGCTGTGGCATCAGACACTCTCATCTGGAGCTGTGCTGGTTGGCATAATCTATTTATACTATGTTTAGAGACATGTGCACCTGCACACACATGCATGTGCGTGTGTGTGTCTGTCCTTCCCTCAAATAGCTCAATTCACTTCTCCTGGGGGTCACCAATAAGCATCGTGAAATGGGTGTGTTTTTTCTTTATTTGTTGCCATGCCTGAAAATTAATTTTTAAAAATAAAATCAGGCACCTAGGCTGGGCACAGCGGCTCATGCCTGTAATCTCCGCACTTTGGGAGGCCAAGGTGCGTGGATTGCCTGAGCTCAGGAGTTCAAGACTAGCCTGGGCAATGTGGTGAAACCCCATCTCTATTAAAAATACAAAAAAATTAGCCAGGCATGGTGGTGCACACCTGTAACCCCAGCTACTCGGGAGGTTGAGGCAGGAGAATTGCTTGAACCCGGGAGGTGCAGTGAGCTGAGATTGTGCTGCTGCACTCCAGTCTGGGTGAGAGAGCAAGACTCTGTCTCAAAAAAAAAAAAAAAAAAAAATCAGGCACCAAAATAAGAGTGGAATTTAAAGGTTTTTTGCTTAAATAAATGCCAGAATTGATATATGACCTGTATTTATAACCAAGGATACATGACCATTTCTGATAACTTTTTATGCTCTTAATTTGTGGTAAGAGCTTTACACTTATTATCTTATTTCATGTTTACATCCACTTTGTTAATACCATTATTACACTTGTCCCCATTGTATAGAAGAAAATGAAGAGCCTCAGAGAAATTAAGGAATTTTCCAATTCTCATACAGCTAGGAATGGTAAAGCCAGAATTAGAGCCAGGATCTTATGGGCCTGTGGTTCACCAAAAAAAAAAAAAAAAAAAAAAAAAAAAAAAAGTGATTCAGTATTGTTATTACCATAAAATCTCAGATAAATTGTGTTCTAAGCCCAAATAAATGTCTTTTATTTCTTGACTCTTACTTTAAAGAGTAAGAGTATTTTAAAAACAAAATACCATTCAAAATAGAGCTTTTCTACTTTTTGCCATTTAAAGCAAATAATTTGCATTTCATGGTGAGGTTAAGGTTATCTAGACAGTCTGAAAACCATCATCCTTGACTATTTACAAAATAGCCAACACTCCTGGAGGCAGTTCTTAAAAGATTTTTTGCCCAGTTCACTTCAGTACAACTGAAAATTTGAGTCCATGAGTAGCTGGTTTCACCTCTATAACATATTATTCTTGTTTACTGGTTATTTGTGAGTCACAGTGAAGGAGAAGTTTTCATTTTCTTTTAGAAACACTGATTCAAGTCAAGCACCTTAATGTTAGTCAAGCTTGAGATTTGGTAATAACATCTCACTTTCTCCACTTAGTGTCCTGAGGTTGATGCTTGCCATTGAGAAATTTTTTAAAATTTCAACCTCAGGATCATAAACACTGTGTTCAAATTTCAGTGTGCTATTTGGCGTCAGTCATAGAAGTTCCCATCCACCAGTGCAGTGTGTGTGCTGCCGAGGTGAGCACCAGCTGCCAGCATAGAAGGCACCCTTGCTCCGTCTACCTCATTGGGAGGTCACAGCAGTGCTGGCTTCGTGCTACCACTTCACAGACAAGGAAACCAAGGCTTGCAGCAGTCAGTGGTTTACCTTGGGCTGCATGGCAACGGAGAAGCCGACACTCAGTTCTAGCTCATCAGAGTCCGCATTTCTATTTGTGATATCATACAGTGTCATGTGACATCATGTGATACCATGCAAGGCATCAGTGAGTAACTGCATCTCTCGCAATGCCACTTCCCCCATCTTCACCCCCCTCACCAAACACTTCTCCAAGGCTAAGATTTCATTGTAGAGAACTATTGATTCTCTTCTATATCACTCCTACTTTTCCAGATCGGAAAATAGATAATCCACTTGTATCACCCCTGTTTCCTGGATAACTCACCTAGAAATGGTCTAATCTGTTTACATCTTTTTATCCAGGTGAAAATGCCTTAGTGAAAGGCATCTGGGGCATTTTATGACTTGGAAAATCACAAGAATTGATGTAAAATAGAGCAGAGGAGCCAAAGCAAATATATATTCATTAAGGGCTATTTGCAATTATAGTGAGCTGAGTGGTTTTGTGCATTCTCCTTGAACATGATGAAAGACCGCAGATTACTCTAGCATCATTGCAGACAAAGCTACTTAAACTACTAATTACACCACCAAGGAGCTGTTTTTTTCTCATCCCTGTAGTCTGACAGAGCCAACTTTTTTTCTCAGAATGTTATTCCCTGCTTGTGTCTCACCCTGTCCTTCAGAATTCAATCAGCATGTCTCACAGCAGCACCCTACATGAAACCAGATTGCTGGAAAGTCCCCAAAACAGGCCAGCCTTTGACTAGGCCTGCCAATCTAAGGCAAGGGTCTGCAGGCTTTTCCTGCAGAGAGCCAGATAATATTATGTATTTTGGATTTTGCAGGCCATAGGGTCTCTGTCCCAGCTACTCAACCACGCTGTCGCAGCACAAAAGGAGCCCTAGACAGTCCATGAACGAATGAGTGAGGCTGCTGAGTTCCAATCAGACTTTACTTACAGACACTGACATTTGAATTTTATATTATTTTCTGTCATCATGAAATAGTATTCTTTGAAATTTTTTCCCAACCATTTGAAAAAGTAAAAACCATTCTTAGATCAGAGCCAGTTTGCTGACCTGAGCTCCAAGGCATTTTAGCTGGCTAGGAAATGGCTGGGCTAGGAACTGCTGCAGGAGCTTTCTTTACCTTGAATCATTGATCTATTGAACTCCAGATCAGATTATGCAAATTAATGTAGTGGGTCCCTGATTAAAAGAGACTCAAGAACTCCTTGTTGGAGAGACATTGTTAGATAGCACTACATCCTACTTCTCTTGGGTGGCCAAGTACGAACCCAGGCCAGCATCTCTCCTTCATGGCCCACAGTTTCTAGTGGCACCAGAGTGCAGCCAGGGGCTGCAGGCTTGGAAGATCCTGGAGTGAAAGAGAGGACAGGAATTGTTTAGGAATCGTAGTCACTGCCGAGTACTACCCATTTAGGACTCAGAGTGCCTCTCAGAGGTCACATAATTCAGGAAACTGGAAGGAAAAGATAACTCAAGACTTAAGCAGAGCTCTTGCTACATGTGACCTGAAGCAGCCTCACCTGAGTGCTGCAAACACTATTTACATTTCAAATGCATTTTCAAATTTACTTTTATGGCTACTCTCAGAGGTGTTTTTAATACATGTAAAGCACAATCTTCACAAAAAGCCTTCCGCAGGAACTGTAAAAAATATTTTATGTCTTTATTTCTAAAAGTCCTTTGTAATTCCTTGAGGACCTTCTTGTGAGGAATATAGACTACAGGTCATGATGTAAAGGAAGAAATAAGTGGAATAGTAGGTTAGGATGTATGAGCTGGGGAATATAATGAGGAGAAAAAGACAAAACGGCATAGTAAGCAGCAAGAGAGCATATAACAGGTTGACAAGGAGATGAAGAAGATTCATTCTTGCTGCTCACACCACTGCCCGTGAACTCAGATGCCGACACCCCCAGAAGTAAAATACAGCATCACAGTTGTCTTTGCGTTTTTATCAGACAGAGTTATTAAATTGCCTGTTTCATAACACAGGTGATTATCCTCTCTATAAATGCTGCATTTTATTATCATTATAAAGGATGCATTTGTTGTTTCTCTGCAAGGATACAAGCGCTCCTCTCTATGTTTCCATGGAGACTACACCAGGATCTAGTACTGGGCACTCAGACATGATACCTTATGTGACCGTAGTTAGTCGGTGATCTTCAACTACCGCAGCCCAGGGAGGGAATCTGTTGTACATTTCCTCTGAGGTTGTAGGCCACAAGTCTTTCCAAATACTGGGGAGTTGGGTTTCAATTTAAATAAAATGGTTATTGAGCACCAGCTATATTTATGCATTGTGCTCAGTTCTGGGGATTAAAAGGTAATAGAGACACGGCTTCTATTCTTCAGGGATGTATGACTCCAGGGGAAAAGAATGCCTGGAGAATGAAACCAGAGCAAGCCCTTGTGTAAGTTTCCAACTGTATCTGTCTTCTTGCTAAGGCAAAAGTCACTGGAGGTGTATGACACCCAGAGCTAATCAATAGCAAGCCCTGGGCAAAATACGGTGACTGTCAAGAGGCTTGCCCACAAGGGGCTCCTTGGCGCTGCCTCCTTCCTACCCTTGACTCTTCATCATCCCAGTAGACACTAGCCCCAGAGGGCAGCTGTGCAGAGACCAACTCTTCTACTTGTACATCAACCAAAGACAATAGAACAGAGCTGTGACTTTAGAAATACATATTTTATTTGATCAGAGCTGAGATGTCACAGATTATATGATGTATCTTTTTTGTGTATTCCTCTAAGAAGGAAAAAATAGCATCAGTTCTGATCATAAATGTCAGTGTTAGGGTGATGGGTACATTAGAAGCCCAACCCCCACAATTACGCATGTAATATCCATGAAACAAACAAGCACGTGTACCTCCTGAATCTAAAATTTAAATTTTTAAAAAATTATAGTTCTAAGATGCTGTCAATTGTATGATACATTGTGATTTCAGGGATGTTAAAATGTGGGAAAAATGTGCATTTTAAAATAAAGGAAACATAATCATTATTGGAGTAAATCCTTGAACAGCCACCAACTGTGGTTAACCTAATAGAGACTATAGGAGCAGTAATGATAATGCAGATGAGTGTGGTAATTTAAAATTTACAGAGCAATTTATTTAAATTTATTTATTTGAGATACTAGATTAAAAATAAAACAATTATACAGCAAAGCCATCCTTTGACAGCCAGTCTACTATGTTGACAGCTGATAAGCCTTCAGTTCATACTTAGGATACTTCATGATATTATATGATCTTGTGGTTCTTCTTTAACTCCCAGCCCAGAACTCAGTCTAAACGTTGTGATTCCCTGGGGCTTAGTCTTAGACCCCTTCTCCCCCTTTGTTTCTTTTTTCCCAGTCTGTATTCCCTCCGTAGGTAGTCTTATCCTTGCATCATTGACTTAAATACTCACCATATGCTGATAATTCCAAAATGTATAGCTTTAGCTCCAACTTTACCCTTGATCCCCAAAATTAAACCTCTAGCTGCCACCCTGACTTCCCCATAGTTCCTAATGGTGTCTCCTGCTTCATAATGCCAAATATGAATGTGTGATCCTTCTTTTGCTTCAGTCATCATCACCTCCATAAATGGACACAAGCATCATCTCCAAGTTATCTTGACTCCTCTCTTGCTCTCACACCACACATGCTACCTACCCATCAGCAAATCCTGCAGACAATTCCTTCAAAACACCTTCCACAATCTGACCATGGCTTGGACCGTGGCCCAAGCCACCATGGGCTGTTTCCTGGATTACTGCAACAGCCCCCAGCTGATCTTCCACCTCCCCACTTCTCTGCTGCTTCTCCTTCCAGCCTGGTCTCCAAACAGATGCCAGAGCAGTCATTTTAAAATTGAAGTCAAATAACGTCCCAACTCTGCTCAGACTCCAATGGCTTCTCAGCTCCCTTGGAATAAGCCAAAGTAGTTAAAATGGGTGCCTGGCCAATGTGCCCTGGCCCCTGCTGAGTCACTGCCATCCTTTCAAGCCTTTCTCTCAAACCTCAATCTGCTTCCCGTCAGGGTCTTGCTCCCTTGTTCCTTCTGCCTGGAACCCTTTCCCAGTTTCCAGAAGGCTCACACCTGACTTCATTTAGGTCTCTGCTGAAAAGCAACTTTATCATCAGTGGTCTTCTCTGAGGACTTGCCTCCTTCTCCAGGCATTCCCAGCCCCCACCCCGCACACTTATCCCCATGGGACTTGGGTTTCCATGTTTGTCTCCTGCGGTGTGCATGGTGGGCTCTGTCTTGCCTTCTTGGATGAGTGTGTGTGAGGGTGGAGACCATCTCCCTACGATTCACTCTCTATCCCTAGTCCTCAGGGGAGTGCCGGGCCGAGTGGACAGCATTCCAGAAGTGTGTTCTGCACGGGTGATTATGAAGTTATGTGGCTGGATTCACTGTGTGGTTCATCAGTCCTGTTGCTTTATAGTTATGAAGGATCTCATCAGTGCTGGCCGAGATCCTTTTCGGTTGTGCATGTTCCATTGATACTGTCATTTGATGCCTGGTGGGTAGGAAATTCATAGAAAACACTTTATAATAATTTCAATTTTGGATGATTCTAGAATAGGTCAGAGACTCAAGAGTTCTTGTGAAATAAATTGCTCATAGTTTAGTACAGGAAAGGCCTTATTTCATCGTATTTTAAATTTTTGTTTTGTTTTGTTTTGTGTAATGGAGTCTTGCTCTGTCACCCAGGCTGGAGTGCAGTGGTGTGATCTCGGCTTACTGCAACCTCCACCTCCCGGGTTCAAGTGATTCTCCTGTCTCACCTTCCCAAATAGCTGGGATTACAGACATCTGCCACCACACCCAGCTAATTTTTGTATTTTTCATAGAGACGGGTTTTCACCATGTTGTCCAGGCTGGTCTCGAACTCCTGACCTCAGGTGATCCACTGGCTTTGGCCTGCCAAAGTGTTGGGATTACAGACATGAGCCACTGCACCCAGCCATATTTTAAATTTTAAGTTGAGAATATGCTGGGATATCTTTAAGATTAATATTAGAATACCATATCATAGTTCAGTGAAAAGCTTGTTAAAATGAATAAGAAATAAATCTCTACATTATTTATAGTTATTAAAATTGTGTTTAGACATTTACATGGGCATAAAGTTTTATTATCTAGCATTCACATTTTTTTAAGTTGACATATGGTGAATTAATGGTGTTCAGGGTTTGGGGTTTTATTTTCCTATCAGAATTACAATACAATTTATACATTTAGTATCTACACGTTATCTGCATCTCCTGTCTTTTGTTGGAAATCAGACTGTGCTGCCTAGAGTTTAGGGTGGTCCATTGTTACTCATATAACCTGCAGGTCGAATAATTTATTAGTGTGGTTGATTTGTCTTCAAGAGTTACCAAGAAAGTTGAACTCAGCTTGGCATGACATATCATTGCTGCTTAAACAAAGGAAGTGTGTGGACCGCTCCAAGCAAGAGTGAACTCTATCGAGTTCATGAGATTTCACTGCAGTTTCCAGAAGCGTCGGCTACCACTGTGGAGCAGCAGAACTTTATATTAGTCTGTACTAAATCTGACTGAGACCAAAAAATGTGTCTAGAATAAAACCCTCGAAAATGATAACAAACAGAGGACAAGACAACCAAGGGACTGGGTAATAACATTAAGTGATGAACACAGCGTTGTTTATTCTGGTCAACATTACATTTTGTCTCTTCTCTTTTCAGTTTATGATTACATGCTCTGGAAAGAAAAAACAATGATATACAAAACGATAATCTTTTAATACAGTCTCTGAAGGACCATGCTTGCTTTATGACTTTGCTCTTTCCACTAGTCTTCACTTTTATTGGCCGGCCAGTTCATGTCCCCCATCCAGATTACTCAAATTACAAACAGGGGAGGAACTACGGTAGCCCGTCAGTCATACTGTGGAATATTGAAAATGTCACATCCATCCAGCATCACACTTAATTTATTGATATATGGAGCATTAAAATGTTGAATACTCCGACTCATAGCCTGGATGATAACAGAATAAAGAAGCTCCATGCCGCGGATGTGTACCCCAGAAGGTGACAATGCAGCCGGTTGCAGTGGGGGGTCTGAGCCCGTCTTATTTCAGTGTGAGGTGCTGTAGCCTCTGTTACCATGACATGAGGTTCCTGGGACGCATGTACCATTCAGACTGTCACGTCAGCCTCACTGCCAACACTAAGAAGGAGGTGCACTGCTGCCTATTCTTAGAGATGTGTTGAAAATGCAGCAGAATCTCTTGGTTTATTATGTTTCTGAGAGCAAGACACAAGCCCCTCCCCATGCAGGTATCCCATCTGCGCCCGGGCTCAGAGAGTCCTGCTCACAGAATTAGATTTTAGATTCATGTTGTCAGGAGCCAAATTGCATTATTTTTTAGTGCTTGAGGGAAAAAAACAAACATGAAGAAAACACACGAAAAAACACTTCATTTCCTGTTATGGGTCGAATTATGTCCCCCAAAAAGATAATGTTGAAGTGCTAATCCCCAACACCCATGAATGTGCCTTTATTTGGAAATAGAGTCTGTGCAGGTGTAATCAGGGTAAGATAAGGTCATACTGGATTTGGTGGGTCAAAATTCAATGTGACTGGTGGGTTTTGTTTGTTTGTTTGTTTGTTTTTGAGACAGAGTCTCGCTCTGTTGCTAGGCTGGAGTGCAGTGGCATTATTTCAGCTCACTGCAAGCTCTGCCTCCCGGGTTCATGCCATTCTCCTGCCTCAGCCTCCCGAGTAGCTGGGACAACAGGCACCCGCCACCACGCCCGGCTAATTTTTTGTATTTTTTAGTAGAGACGGGGTTTCACTATGTTAGCCAGGATGGTCTCGATCTCCTGACCTCATGATCCACCCGCCTCGGCCTCCCAAAGTGCTGGGATTACAGGCGTGAGCCACTGCGCCCAGCTTGACTGGTGTATTTTATAAGAAGAGAAGGGACACAAAGACACAGAGAGGAGACTCACATGCATACAGAGGCAGAGATCGGAATGATGAGTCCACACACCAAGGAATGCCAAGGGTTGTTGGCAGCCACCCGAAACCACAAGAGAAGGTGGAACAGATTTGCCCTCAGAGCCTCCAGAAGGAAGCAGCTCCACCAACACCCGCTCCAGAACTGCGAGAGGATGCGTTTCTGTTGTTTCTAGCCACCCAGTTTGTGGCTGTCCCACAAAGCTAATCACGTCCCTTCATTATCTCCTACCTCCTCTCCTAAAGTCCTGGCTTGAACACAGCTGGGCTCTGGGAAGCGCACAGAGGATAGTACCCGGAGAGTCACTTCTTTGAAGCCACTCTATTGTTCTATACCTGCCAACACCCAGGGCTTCAAAACAGAAAAGAAGTTATGAGGTCAAAATTGTGAAATACTTCTGCCACATCGCTTATGTCTCTCAGATCTTCAGTCATCTCTAACACACATTCCTATGTCACTGGATGCCAGACTGAGATCCAGAGACTCTTGAAAACCAAAAGCTTCCCATTTCTCAGGGCCCGTTCTGCAAAGGGGCAGCATGCTGGGGGCTGAGAGCCTGTGCGCTGCAGGCTGGGCTCACGTGACCCCCACTGCTGCTGCTTTCCAGCTCTGTGACTTCAGTTACCTGGATGGTGAAACGGGACTAATGACATCACTGCATCCAGATGATATGAGTTAATAGATGGAGGCTCCTCACACCACATGTAGAAACAGTGATCATCCCACAGTCAGCTGTTGTTACCAACACTGCAGCAGATAAAAGCATGATCAGTCCTTCACTTTCTTCTGGGAGTTGAGAATCCCTAGTGGTTGAAGCAGAAGAACCATTTTTAAAGAGACGTAAATGAACCTGTCTCTCTGTGTGGTAAGACAGGTTACATATTGGGCATGCTGACCCTTGAAGAACAATCCTTAGTGAATTTTGCTTCCATTACATTGGAACATCGGAAACATACAATGCTGACATTAATAAGATTTCACAGTGAAACCCAAGGGATGGTCATTTTTTAGCAGGTGGTGTTCCAAGCCCAGCCAAACATTGCTGTGGCTGCAGGGGAGGCACTGACTGGGGCTGACCCCTGTGTGCAAATTGGATGGGGAGGAGGAAGCTGTCCCATGATTAAAGTAGCTGGAGGCGGTCACTGTGAAGATGGTGTCTTGGTCCCTTCAGGCTGCTATAATAAAACTTAATAAACTCAGTATCTTACAAACAACAACATCTATTTCTCACAGTTCTGGGTGCTGGGAAGGTGCTGGGAAGTCCAAGATCAAGACGCTGGCAGATTTGGTGTAGGATGAGGGCCCACTTCCTTGTTTGTAAAGGATTGTGTCTTTTTGCTGTGACTTCCCATAGTGAAAGTGGCAGATGAGCTCTCTCAGGCCTCTTCTATAAGGGCACTAATCCCATTGATGAGGGCTCCACACTCCACCCTCGTGGCCTAATCATCTCCCAAAGGCCCACTTCTTAACATCCCCATAATGGAAATTAGGTTTTAACATGAATTTTGGAGGGTCACAAACATGCAGACCATATAGCATGTGGAGAGGAGTGCCTTAGTCACAGTGGGGTAGAAGAAGGTCAGTGGGGTAGAACCAGTGGGGTAGAAGCAGGTCACAGGATGTGGGTGAGATAGACAGCTGGCCTCATGTGAGAAGTCACTGTCACCACAACATGCTTATGAAAAATCTTCCTGCGCCATAGGATTGTTAATTAGTTAATATTGATTATCCATCTACTATGTGCCAAATATTTGTAAGTATAATGTATTTTTTTCTGCACAATATAGACTATTATAAAAGAAACCATCCCAGGCCTCATTATAATAAGTCCATCCCTCCTGTACTTGTCCGACCCTAACTGCCTACACAGAGAAGAATTAATGGAGCTTAATATCTTAGGGACCTCTTGTTCATGTTGGTGCAACTCTTTCTGGTCATGATGGTGATCAACATTAGAACCTGCCCTAATGTGAAAATGTTACATAACTAAAGCATAGAATCCATAGATGGGTTTTTCCTGTACTCATATTATGCTTTGTTCATTGTTGTTTGTATTTTTAATCAGCAGGAAATTTTGCATTGTATTTAAGAGCGTGTGTTGTTTTTATGCTCATAATGAGATCTGTACCCAGTTTCATGGAACTCTAGTTTTTGGCCATGACATTCAAGATGCCAATTGTACTGAAGCCTTTTTTTTTTTTTCTTTATATGAAAAACCTGTTTCTTCTTTTTTTTTTTAATGGGAGTTTTTTCTGGGCTAAAGGTCTCTAACAGAAAAATAGAATCATATTGTTACATTTTAGTAAGTGTCAGCATATACTACCAGATTTATTCCCAGATGAGCGAACAAGACTTATAGCTGTGAAATGTATGAACCACTTAAGCTAATGAATTAGGTCAGAATAAATTAAGAAAACATACATCAAGATCTAGAGAATTCCAATGTAATTTTTATTGCACTAATCCATACATTCATGTAAGCAATGGTAAGTTCCCATAATATTTAGCAGGAGAGGCCAACACTAATATTAGTACTTAACATTGTTTGATTATCTGAAATGTTAAATAAATAAACCCTCCCAGGTTTTTCTCACTCTTTTATTTTCTATGATTATTGCTGTGTTATGAAATTTAGGAAATGAAGAAAAGTTTAAATATTATAATAAGAATTACCTGTAATTTCACTGCCTGGATTTAAGGAACTATTAACAGTTTTGTGTCATAATATGTTGTCTTTTTGTGAACTTAAATAAAATTTAAAACATAATGCTGACTTAATCATCTATTTGGTCAACACATAGTTATTGATTATGTAGCATCTATCAGGGACTAGGGAAGATACTAGAGATACGAAGAATGATAAAACCAGCTCTTGACCTCTAGGAGTTTATAGTTGGCTGTAATTATGAGAGCACCCAATAAACCCTCTAACAAGGATATTAACAAAAGATTCTGGTAGTTTAGAGAAGAAAATAAACTCTGCGTGAAGGGGTGGAGAAAGCATCGCAGGAGATTGACCTGTGGGCTGGAGAAGGAAAGAGTGGGGATAAGCCTGGCCATGCGAAGCTTGCAGGATCCACAGATGTGCATCAGGGGATGCTCTAGGAAGGGGCCAGGGATGGAGTCCCTGAGGCCAGAGCACAGCTGCCTGTCAGCAATGGACCAGCAAGAAAGTCTAGCAGAAGGTGGGGGCTGCAGGGTGGAGGGCCTTGTAGTCATGCTAGGAACTGTGGAGTTTATCCTGTAGTGGTGTGAGATCCAGGGTAATAATGATGACGGCTAAAACTCCTGCTGAGTTTTCTATATGGTGGATTGAGTTGGGTTTGGAAAAGCTGAAGCACAAAGCTCAGGGGGACTAGTGTTTCTGCAGGGCTGCTCTTTCTGTGTGGGCCAGACTTTCCTTGGCTGTGTTAATCATAGAAGACAGACACTGGCCTAACAGGCTCATTCATTGTCTTATTTCTTCTCATAAATGCAGCATGGGGTAAAGCCTGGAGTTACCCATGTGCCTGGCTCTTGCACAGAAGGTGTGAGTCTCCCATTACATGAAGGTCCACCGCCTACTGTGGGGACTGGTGAGGTAGGGAGTGTAAGGCATCTTCTGCTGAGTGTCTGCCAGCAAAACTCCCTGGCCATTCCAAAGTGTGCTGGAGTGTTCTGACGCCTCTCACTGCTTTCTTCCAGGCAGCAACATCAGACTTATACTAGTATCCAATCAGATAGTCTTATATCATTCAGGACAGTGAGGGGCAGAGGTTTTTATTTTTTCCTTTTCTTTAATAAAATATGTTTTAAAAAGCAACCATAATTTCTGGGAAAGTCAGACATTTTGTAGTAAATTTGCCTTGCATGTAGTTTTTATTTGTTGCAATGACTCACTGGCTTTTTTCTTACTTAAAATCAATAAGTAGTGGTGAGGGGCAGCTATGTGTGAGTGTTGGAAGAACCAAAGGTCCTATGGCAGTGGTCCCTAACCTTTTTGGCACCAGGGACCAGTTTCCGTGGAAGAAAATTTTTCCACAAACAGGGTGAGTGGAGTGGTTGCAGATGAAACTGTTCCACCTCAGATCATCAGGCATTAGTTAGATCCTCATAAGGAGCACACAACTTACATCCCATGCATGTGTAGTTCACGATAAGGTTCATGCTCCTATGAGAAGGTAATGCCACCACTGATCTGACAAGAGGTGGAGCTCGGGTGATAATTCTCGCTCACCCACTCACCTCTGGCTGTGCGGCCTGGTTCCTAACAGGCTACGGACAGGTACTGGTCCATGGCTCGGGAGGTTGGGGACCCCCTGCCCTGTAGTGGGTTTGTCTGAGGATGCCCCAAAATAGATATTGTAATTTATTCTCGATCTTAGTGATGAAGAAACAGGATAGAAGAGGCTCACGGGACTGCCCAGGTGTGATGGGCTAGTAAGCCGCCCAGCTGGGATGGAATCCAGGCGATGCAGTCTTCTCAGCTCCACACGCTGCCCCCAGGAACCTGAGCCAGGAGGCAGGAGCAGACTCTGATGTCCATGCTGGGCATGGGCTGGAGTGGGTAGACATCCAGGCTGTTGGAAAAGACAAGACAGAGGGCCCTAATATTCCGCATCAGTGGTGAGGATGCCTTGGGGCTGCTGAGAGGGTAAAGGGGAGGCTGTCAGTTCAGCGTTTCACACAATGGGCGTTCATATAAGACTTAATATGAAGAAAAGGCCGATGACGTGTTTTGTTATTGTTGTCATTATTGAGTTTAAAAATCACTACTGGAAGTCAGAATTGCCACCTTGACCTAAAATGTTTGATACTAATGTAGGGTGAGTGAACCAACTTCCAAAGGAGATTTTGATGTAGAATGAACAAGGTTGGGTGACCTATTAGAAGATGGGAGCAAGGAAGAAGCAGTAAAGAAGAGTCTAAATTTCCGGCATGGAGCCTACCTGAATGCTCGATGATAGTATTAAGAAATCATAAAGAAATTTCAGATCTGATTTGTAGGGGTAGAAGATGTTGGACATTATCTCCTGTCATCCACATGGAAATAGTATAAATCTACCATTATGCAATAGTCATGAAAACTCAAGAAAATCAACAGAAAAAAAATGTTTAAGATCTTCATAGGTTGAGTTTGTTTGGTGGATACATGTAACTCTCTTCTATGTCAGCCTCAGTTACCTGTATACTGGCCACATATAGAGTTGGCCTTTTTTGGTTTTTCAACAGAAAAAAATAGCCATATCCCAGATTTAGGAACATAATACTAAATCTATATTAAATAATAAAATATAAAATTATTTAAATATTCCCATGGTTTAGAAGATAAATAAGAATGTTCATTGGTTTTTTTACTAGTATAATTTAAATAAAGCCTTTTGAGTTTTAAAGTCAGTTGTTGGGCCAGGCGTGGTGGCTTACGCCTGTAATCCCAACACTTTGGGAGGCCAAGATGGGTGGATCACGAGGTCAGGAGTTCGAGACCAGCCTGGCCAATATGGTGAAACCCCATCTCTACTACAATTACAAAATTAGCCAGGTGTGCTGGTGCACACCTGTAATCCCAGCTACTCGGGAGGCTGAGGCAGAAGAATCGCTTGAACCTGGGAGCTGGAGTTTGTAGTGAGCTGAGATCGCACCACTACACTCCAGCCTGGGTGACAGAGCAAGACTCTGTCTCAAAAAAAAAAAAAGAAAAAGTCAGTTGTTGTTTTTAATAAAATAAGCTTAAACAAATTTTTATCAGTTCTTTTATTGGTCAGTTTTGTTTTGAAATAACTTACTCGTTTTAAAATCCAGACTGAAATTCTTCTCAGTATTTGGAAAAAAATCCATCTGCCAGTTTATAGACAAGCCAGCATATAGGCTTTGACATATATAAGCTGTCATGAATAACTTTGTTCTATTAAATGACTAGTCACAATTTAATATTTTACCCTAGGATTTTTTCCCATCTGGCTCTAGTATTAGGCTGTATTTTAAAGGATACCGGTTCTAAGAAGTTGCCGTAACTATAAATAAAGTGACAGTTACTCGAACAGATAGGCTGTACTCAGCCAATAGCCTGGCCATTTAGAAAGCTGAACAGAACCACTTTACCCTATGTTGACAGTGAGAACAAATTGAACATCCTTGACTTAAGTGCCATTTGTACACCCCTTTCCCGTAACAGGAAGACCCTCTATTTCTTTTGCTGTGCTCATCTCTACCCAATACATTTAAACCGTGAGAGGGAGCTGTGTCTCTATTTTTCCCTGAAAAGTGCTCGTCTGTTGGCATTTCTGGCGGACTCCTCACAGCTGGATATTTGGGGTTGCTTTACATAACCTGGCATGTAAGGGACCCAGGTCACTTCTCCTCCATAAGCTCCTGACTTCCATGCATTGGAGAAGCTTGCCTCCCAGGGAGTGACTTACCAGAAATGGGGCCAGAATTGATAAATCAAAGGGGTTTAGGGGCAAGATCAGTGTGGAAGCGGGCCCCAGAGAGAAGCTGCATTAGCGGAGCTCCCGGGAGCACTGTTTTGACCTCAGGGTTCTGTTGATTCTGGGGCCAGCTAGGGGCGGAGCCAAAGCCAACCCAAGCCACTCCCCCATGTGCAGCATCCCAGCCTCTCTCCCGGCGGCTGCTCCTCGTGGTCCACCAGCCACCCTCTCACCACAGGGCCGGCTGTTGGGAGCTTAGAGAATCATAGGAAAGAAGGAGGCAAGGGAAGAATGGAGGGAGAAGGAAAGAGTTTAACTTAGGCCAAATATTGTTATTAAAATCATACATAAAGTGAAATCCTTTGCAGTTTAATAAAAAGTCCAAGTTGTTAAATACATTAACCTGACAGATAAAGTCTAATATTTCTGACTCATCTGGAGACAAAACTTGCCTGACATGCACTCTTGGTGGCAAATCCTGGCATGAACTGCAGTGAGGCTGTTTATATCCTTGATTTATCCCACTAAGTATGAATATTCATATATTTCACCACAGTTGTATCCATGTGTTCGATTAGACCCTGCTGTGGGTCTACATAAAATATGGCCTGTACTCTGTATTACCTTCCTAAAATCTGAAAAGTTCTGGAACCTCAGATTTCAGATACGAGTTAGGAACCCACATTCATATTCTCATATTACAGGGAAGGAAACAAAGACACAGAGTGGTCAGAGACTTCGCCAAAGTCGAAGGTCCGGTGTCAGAGCTAGGATTTCACTCCCCAGAGGCTGCTGCACTTGCCACCGCCACATGTATTAGTCTATTCTCATGCTGCTAATAAAGACATACCTGAGATTGGGTAATTTATAAAGAAAAAGAGGCATAATGGACTCACAGTTCCACGTGACTGGGAAGCCTCACATTCCTGGCAGAAGGCAAAGGAGGAGCAAAGTCACATCTTCCATGGCGGCAGGCAAGAGAGAGAGCATGTTCAGGGGAACTCCCCTTTATAAAACCATCAGCTCTTGTGAGACTTATTCATTATCATGACAACAGCACGGGAAAAACCCACCCCTATGATTCACTTACCTCCTACCGGATTTCTTCCACGACATGTGGGGATTATGGGAGCTACAATTCAAGATGAAATTTGGGTGGGGACACATCCAAACCATATCAATATCCTCGATTTATCCCACTAGGTATGAATGTTCATGTATTTCACCACAGATATCCTCATGTGTTCGATTAGACCCTGCTGTGGGTGCTCCATAAAATACAGCCTGTACTCTGTATTACCTTCCTAAAATCTGAAAAGCTCTGAAACCTTGGGTTTCAGATACAGGTTAGGAACCCACATTCATATTCTCATATTACAGAGAAGGAAACAAAGACACAAAGTGGTCAGAGACTTTGCTAAAGTTGGAGGTCTGGTGGCAGAGCTAGGATTTCACTCCCCAGAAGCTGCTGCACTTGCCACTGCCACGTGCCACTGTCTGCCATTCACCAGGCAACCCTTAGCCAAAGTCAGAAGTCCAGTGGCAGGGCTAGGATTTAACTCCCTGGAGGCTGCTGCACCTGCCACTGCCATGTGCCACTGTCTACCACTCGATACTTCCAAGATAAATGAGCAAATAAAAATACCACCACCACCACCATCCCTCGAAACAACAAAGTCCATTCTCCCATCCGTTCCTGTCACTGTGGAAGCTGCTGAAGTTCAGCCGAGTGGGTGAAGAGATGCACGCCCTCCTCGGTGGAGGCAGCGACTGTCTGCATCCAGGTCAGCACAGGCAGAGTGCAGTCAGGCTAAATCTCATCGCAAAATAGCACATTCCTCTTAGAACCCCCTCTACGTGCACTTTTTAAAGCTTTTTATTCCACCCCTGATGGCTTACTGAAGAATTTTTTTTGAGCCAACATTCACGTTACGAACTTTCCCTCTGTGCAGCTCATTCCTCATCTTTCCATACAGAATGGGATACTTATTTTTTTTAAGTATTTACTTGTACTACATGGTTTTTTTGTTTGTTTGTTTGAGACAGAGTCTCGCTCTGTTGCCCAGGCTGGAGTGCAGTGGTGCAATCTTGGCTCACTGCAACCTCTGCCTCCTGAGTTCAAATGACCCACCTGCCTCAGCCTCCCGAGTAGCTGGGATTCCAGGTGCCCACCACCACACCCGGCTAATTTTTGTATTTTTAGTAGAGACGGGGTTTCACCATATTGGCCAGGCTGGTCTTAAACTCCTGACCTCAGGTGATCCTCCCACGTCGGCCTCCCAAAGTGCTGTGATTACACGTGGGAGCCACTGTGCCCAGCGTACTTGTACCACACATTTATTCAATACGTATCTTTCAGGCACTGTTCTAGATGTTGATGATGTGGCTGTATACAGTACAACACCTCTGCCTTCACAGAACCTGTACTTTGGTAGTGAAAATGGACAAGAAATTAATAAGCAAATATACAGAAATGAGACAGCACTTGCTACAGAAAAAAAAAAAATGGAAGCAGGTGACAGAGGCTGGGGCAGGTAGTGGTGGGGAAGGGAGTTCCTGCGGTCTAGGAGGTGGTCAGGGAAGGCCTCTGTGGTACATGATATCTGAAGATAGATCCAAAGGAACTGGGATGGGCAGCCACACAGATATCTGGGAGGGGAGTTCCAGGCAGATGGAGCTGCAGACACACAGGCCCTGAGATGGCTCCTGTGTGGTTGAGTAGACAGCAGTGGATGTAACCTGCCAGGGCCCAGTGAGTGTGGAGAAGAGCAAGGTGGGTGCAGAGAAGTAGCAGGGCCCTGTGTTCAGAGGGCCCTGTCAGACTCCGTGAGGGTCTCCACTTTTCTTTAGGATAAGATGAGAAAGGATTGAAGAGTTCTAAGCAGAAAGTCAGACCTTACTTTAGGGGCTACCATGCTGGGAGAATTCTGTAGCTGGAGTGAAGATGATGACACAGAAGTCTCTTGTGCTAACCCAGATCAGAGATGATGGAGGTTTCCACCAGCAGTGGGCGTGCTGAGGTCAGTGAGAAGCCACCAGTCTCTGCACATACGAGAGGTATGTGGGTTAGATACTGGCATGAGACAGGCAGCAGAGTGAAAGATGGCACCGTGGGACTCGGCCTGAGTCACGGAAGACTGGGTGTCCACTTACTGAGATAGGGAGGGCAGTGGGAGGAGCAGGTTTTGGGTAAAAATCAATAGTTTGAGATTCAGCATCCAATGGGATGTTCAAACTGAGTCAGGACGTGCCATCATCATCAAATAGGTGGTCTTTAAAGGCAAGAAGAATGGATGAGATCGGGAAGGACATGTGCGCAGAGCAAAGGCAGGGTCTAAACCTGAGCCTGCAGCAACAGAGTCCAGACTTGTGAGAGGAGGACCAGACAGCAAAGGGGAAAGAGCGGCCCAGGACATGGGAAGGCAGCTCAGAGAGGTGAGGCCACTGCCGCTGTTCACGTCTGGTTTTTTCTTTTGTTCACAATCAGACTCCTTTCTAAGGAATGGGCCATGCTCATCATCTCTCTTGCCAGCTCACCATTTTTTCCTTGTGAATCTTCAGCTGTGTGTCTTTGATCTTCACAGAAATGACCTTTTAGTTTTTATTCCATCCCTGTTTTTTCCTTTGAATGGTTTTTAGAATTGTGCCTGTCCTTTCAAGTTTCGTAACTACCGTATTCATCCCTGGCCCTTATTAGTACTAACTGAGTTATTGCAATAACCTTGATTTACCAACTCTTCCACTTTGACCATCTGGCTCATCTGAGTCCTGCAGCCATACCAGGCTTTCAGAGCACTGCTATAATTCTGTGATTCTCCTGCTTCAGCTCAGCAATGCGTACTACGTGAATCAAGGTCAAACCACTTCATTCAAGCAGAGCCATGGCCTCCATCCGCTACCCTTCTAATTAAGTAATATTATCTGTGATAGTTGTATAGCAGACTAATAGTTCTAATCATTATAGTAATAGTTGTAGTAGTAGTAGTAGTAGCAACAGCAGTCACAATGCTTTTTGAGACCTTAGTAAGTCCCAGCTGCTGCCATTCGGATACATCATCTCATTTAATTGTTGCAGCAACTCTAAGAAGAGTTATTATAACCAGTACCCCTCCCTACCTGAACTCTGACTGTATGAACTCGGTAATGAATGGGATTTAGATAACACATCTCTGTCCAGACTCAGTATCAAGCATCTCATTATCCACATGTAGAACCTGAATAAGTGTGGATAGTAAGCAGTCCTGAGTCACCGCCTCCTTCTGCAGATACCCAGGGGCTTAGAAAGACCATTCATAACTTGCCAAGATCACACAGCCAGTGACGACAAGCCGAGATCTGACCTCAGGCCTGTCTGACTCCAAAACCCGACCTGGAGACCATGTCCTCCAGGGCCGTTGCCCACCTGCTTTTGTGTCAGCCTTCCTCCCAGTCCCTCGAGTGACACCAAGCACCTTCCCATAGCCCCTTCCCAGTGAGAGTCCCGCCCTGTCCATCCTTATGCCCAGCCCATAGCCCCTGGCCTTATCTGCCCCACACTTAGCACTGCTCTGTATCCTCAGCAGTGAACTAGCCTTCCAGAAAGCTCTGTGCTTCAATCTCATGCCAACATAGACAAATAGGACAGTCTCAACCACTGTACCATCACCAGGCCTGCTTAAACATGTGTGTGAAATTCAACATATCATGCATTTTTAGTGTCATCTACACTGTGCAAGGCTCAAATGAGTCCTCAAAGAGGTAGCCACTGGACTCCTATATTAAGAAAAGAATTATATATAATTAATTTTGAACAATTGTGACACAGCGTATATGCTCTATGTGCCCAGGATACATTTACATCTCAATGCCCTGGAATACTAAGTGTCACTGACTTAGAGGCACTGTAAGAAGTGCTATATAAACCACATCTTCTATACCTAACTGAGAATGTGGTGCTCAGCATAGCTGAAGCACAGAACATAGATTTGTCAGGCAGTCACAGTCAAGGACAATGGAGAGACCAGCAGTTATGGGGCAGTTAAACATGTACTAAATGGTAGTCGCTGTGCTCAGCACAACATGAGTTCCAGGGACTCAGCACTGGGCCTCCTCTCGTCCTCAGTTTCTTATTCTATGCCCTCTGAAGCAGGTTCAGAATCTTCTAGACAGACAGAATTAATGAATAAAACAATGAATTGTCACACATAGAACTTTTAATGTGCAGGACCTGGACAACATAAGGGGTTAAAAATCAAGCCCATTGTAATAACAGCTCCTTGCTGTTGAATATTTACTTCTTCTATTTGATCCCTAAACAGTATGCTGTGAGTATCATAGAATATCGCATTCCCTTCCTCAGTGAATTTTTTTAAATGTCTGCTTCTTAAGGATGAAATATTTGTAAAGTTGGAGGAACTACTCAAAGCCCTATTATTTCGCATGTCCCCAAGCTCCACCTCTGATAAATTTTTTGTACCGGTAAAGACAGCATGTGATTTGTAAAATTTGTACCCATAGTAATTAAAAATATGACCTTTATCCAGATCCTGTTGCAGAGGCACTTATGAATTCCTCTAAAGTACACTCTCCCGCTGTTATTGTTGTTAGAAACATGTTTCCACTGGTTGACTTTTCAAAGATGATTTCTAGTTTTAAATGATTAACTTTGCTGCTGTGTTATAAGTCACTGGACTGAGAGGGGGTAATTGTGGTTGAAAGACCAGCACAAGAGAACTCTTTTCTCTTTATTGAAAGGTGATGCGATCTCATGTAATAATTGACCAACACTTCCAATTAACGGAGCATGGCTCATGAATAATGCAATTATTCTTTTGATTAAAGTAATCTCAGAAAGAAATTGCATTTCTGAAAAAAAAATACAATTTAATATATACATGCCATAGTAAATTCTGTTGCTTTTTGTTGGTGGAGCTTATCATGCAAGGTAAATGGAAATAAGAAAACTCTACAATGTGGCTGAAATTTGTGTGACATCCTTTTAAAATGTGAGTAGTTTCAACTGGCACACCGTTTTTTTCTTTTCTTTTCTTTTTTTTTTTTTTTTTTTGAGACAGAGTCTCAGTCTGTTGATCAGGCTGGAGTGCAATGGGGCAATCTTCACTCACTGCAACCTCCTCCTCCCGGGTTCCAGCGATTCTCCTGCCTCAGCCTCCCGAGTGGGCACCTGCCACCATGCCAGCTAATTTTTTTTGTATTTTTAGTAGAGACAAGGTTTCACCATATTGGCCATGCCCGTCTCCAACTCCTGGCCTAAAGTGATTCACCCACCACGGCCTCCCAAAGTGCTGGGATTACAAGTGTGAGCCACCGTGCCCAGCCTAGTATACTCGTTTTTAATTCATGTTTCAAGTTGATCTAGATGGGGAACCAATTTATTTTTAATGTCGAGTGAGGCTGTGTCAAGAAACAGAAGCAGAGTTCATATTCTCAGCCCTTAAACTGGTGGACTGTTAGCAATTTGGTTGTTGCAACGTTGAATGTTTTGGAAGTGAGTTCCATCTCCTTAGGAAAATAAGACAGGTGTTTGCAGGATTTTTAAAAAATTACTAATGAAAAGCTAGAGCATCAGGAAAGGCCAGCCTGTGGGTGCGGGTGGAGAGGCCACTCACACAGGGTCTTGAATGCTCTTCCAGAGATGTGGAGCAGGATCCTAGGAGCAGTGGCAAGCCACTGAGGAGATTTGAAATAAAAGAGCATCTTATTCATATTCGCCTTTAAAAAACTAATTATGTCTAAAAGGGCCTAATAGGAAGCCAGCCAGAGAGAAGACTGTCCCAGAAATCTACATGAGAAGTGGCGGCATGGGCGATCCAGAGCCGTGAGGTCACTGGGACAAGCTGAGATGTGGGGGTCAAAGAGAACGAAGAGTTAAGGTGATTCTCGGGTGTCTGGATTTGGAACTGAACAGAGAGTAGTGCCCTTGGCTTATGATTAGACAGAATGATAATAAAGAACTGTTGTGCACTCAATTTTGGACTGAATTTTTAGTGTCTGAGAGATGTCCAGGTGGAAGTGTCAAGTTGACTTCTGTGATACAGATTGGTGAGTCAGTAACCAAATATTTTTTGGAGAATCTGTTGGCGCCAAGTACCATTCTAGGGTCAGAAACACACAACTTACGAGTCCCCGTCTTCGTTGACATTCGTGTGTTTTATTTGACCCTAAAGCAGTATTATATGATTTCCTTAGAATATCACGTCACCTGTCTGGTGAATTTGGGAAGAGGTAGGGGGATATACAATAAACATGAGAACAAATCAATAAGATAATTTTAGATGCTGGTGAGTATTTTGGAGAAGATAAATTAGGACACTGTGGTTGAGAGTGACCAAGGGGCCAAGGGTGGGAGCTACTTGATCAAGTTCAGAGAAGGCCTCTGTGCCCCTCATCAGGATCTGGAATTCAAATGAAAAGTTGGGGCTAGAGACAGAGATTTGGAATCATCCTCGTTGAGATGCTGGTTAAAGGACTGAAACGTTTCATTGGATTTAGGAACCAGTAGGCATGTTCCACGGCATCTCAGAGTCCCTGGAAGGTCTCTGCAGGCCTCCTCCCAACTCCAACAGCTCAGAGCAGTGGGGGGTGCTGCAGAGAGTGCCCCTGTCCTGTGGGGTTAGCTTAGGAAGACTGGTAGCAGAACCCCTAATGCTGTGTTCTGGAGGCGGGTGGAAAATCAAAGCCAGTGAAGCCTATCAGGACATCAGTCCAAGGACATGCAACACTGGGGCCTAAGACGGGGAGGAACAGAAGTGTGAGAGGCGCGGATGGATGGCAGAGCAGTCAGGTGGGAGGCTCCTGAAGCAACTCAAAGATGCAGCAGGGGCCCGAGCGCTGACTTTCAGTCTGCACGCCCATCGCTGAGGATTTCGCTCCTTGACCGAATGGTTTGGAGAACAGGTCTTCTTTCAGAATGTCATCTTCCCGCAAGTTAATATTCTGAAGTGGAGAAAACAAGCTCCAAAGTTACCCGAGCTGCCACAGTCAGCTTTTGGAGGCAGCGGGCTACCTCGGCTGTCTCCCCAGACTAGAAAGCTGTAACAAACGTGGTTTATTCTGGAAGCAGCCAGGAAGATGCTCAGTTGCTTTCTGATTTATACCATACACGTGAATCAAAGAATGTGACTGAAATATTTATGCATATGACCGTGTGTGTGTGTGTGTGTGTGTGTGTGTGTGTATGTGTGTGTGTGTGTGTGCATGTGTGTTGATATGCCTGTGTGGTGAGTTTGAACTGGAAATCAATAATCAACATGTGTCAACTCATTTTATTTTCTGTAACTTTTCTTTGACAAGCTGCCAATTTCTCTCAGCAGCAGGAGAACTAAATTTAGTCCAACCTAGTAAAATCAGTGTAATCATTTTTTAGCTACTTCTGGTTTAAAACCTAGACTCTTTTTGACAGTATCCAGTTGATTCCAGTATTGTCGTTATTGTGGACATTGTTCACAGTTTAAAGCCTTTCTCTCTCGGTTTGGCAAAGCTTAGCCCCAGATGGAGTGGACTGTCTGCAGAGGGGTCTCTTCCCTGTTCTCTTCTTCCATGTGCTGACGGAGGTGAGAGGCTGGGTGGGCCCAGGAACGCCTCTGTGACAGTGCACCTTGGTGGTGATGAGGGGCCAGGCCCGTGCCAATGGTGGTGAGAGCCTGGGTGGGCCCAGGAACGCCTCTGTAACTGGGTACCTTGCTGGTGATGAGGGGCCAGGCCCATGCTAATGACGGTGAGAGCCTGGGTGGGCCCAGGAATGCCTCTGTGACAGTGCACCTTGGTGGTGATGAGGGGCCAGGCCCATGCTAATGACGCTGAGAGCATGGGTGGGCCCAGGAATGCCTCTGTAACTGGGCACCTTGCTGGTGATGAGGGGCCAGGCCCATGCTAATGATGCTGAGAGCCTGGGTGGGCCCAGGAATGCCTCTGTAACTGGGCACCTTGCTGGTGATGAGGGGCCAGGCCCATGCTAATGACGCTGAGAGCCTGGGTGGGCCCAGGAATGCCTCTGTGACGGTGCACCTTGGTGGTGATGAGGGACTGGGCCCATGCTGACACCTCGTCTGGCTCTGACTGCAGCTGTCCTCACCCTGTCAGCTCTCAGACCAGAGCTTCTACCCTTGTTCCTTTGGAGCTGAGTGGCACACCATAGTCACACCACCCTGTCTTCCAGGATCTGGGCAAGGCTGCACTCCTAGAGTGGGCCATCCACCCTTGTCTCTTCTGAAAGGGTCCCTCCCAGGGGGCGTGGTAAGCTGGTTATGCCCCTGTGGCCTTTGCTGGCCTCCTTCTCTCCATGGGAAGCCATGCCTCCGTGGGAGACAGGTGACCTTTCGCCACCACCATGCTCACTGTGTCCCTTTGTCTTCTCTACATCCTACGTAGATACACACGTGGGAGGTGCACACAGTAGGCCTGAGGTTTCTTTGTCTGCATCCGAAGCAATTTTTAAAAGCCCCACTGCCCTGGGATTTCCTAAACCTTAGATGTTAGAAGTTTTCTAAGAAACTGCCACCTTCCAGACTGACAGACCAGAAAGGAGACCAAGAAAGGGATCTGGGTCCAAGCCCCTGGCCCTTCCTTGATCGTCTTCTATCCTCCTCCCTCTCGGCATTGCAGGGGCCAGGCTTCTTCATGGCTGCTGGAGACTTTGCTGTGTCATCAGTGCGTCCTCCCGGAAGTGGCCTTTGCTCCCCTTTGCCCTGGAGCCATAATAAATGAAGGGCTTCCGGGGTACATGATTTGATATCTTTCACAGTAGCCACACGGGTAAGCATAAACCAAATGATGTATACATTTTCAGGTAGGGCCAATCCAAATGCAAAAGGAAAATAACATAATTAAGTTTATAAAAAATGATTCTCTGGATGTGAAAATTGGCTAAATTTTTATTGACTCGACTTTTTTTTAATTGTTTTCACCTTCATTTTTAAAAATGCCTTTTAGAGCCAAGTGCGGTGGCTCACACCTGCGCTCCTAGCTACTCAGGAGGCTGAGGCCAGAGGATCACTTGTGGCCAAGAGTCGAGACCAGCCTCAACAACATGGCAAGATCCCCATCTTTAAAAAAAAAATGCATTTTATTCAGTTATCTAAATAACATTAGAGACTATCAGATCCCAAATGTTTAATAGAGTTCTGTTTTGTGCTAGGCAATGTGACCCCAGCGTGCTCCTGTGACATGTTTCCCTGAAGGCTGGCCGGCCAGTTTACAAGCAGAATTTTCCTCTTAGGAGTCTTCACAGTTACATCAAAGAATCTTCAGTCCAGTAATGTTTCCAATCTTTGGAATCTTACCCTTAAATGTGCTCTCCTAACAAAAGAAAATCTATAAAGACCCACAATATACAACAGATACATCAGACCTTAATCACCAAATGAAGTATTTATAGTATATATACGATGTACTTCTCTATTCTGTGGTGGAGGACAGACAGTGGGAAGTATGAACTAGTTATTCCTAAATGGCTAGAGAGAATGTTGCAGTTAGTGGAACAAAGTTCCTAGAGGGAACTACATGAAATTCATGGCACGCACCCGGATGATATTTACTGGGAGCATTTTATGATGTGTGTGAGGTGGAGAGGCTAATACTGATGATGGCGGTTTTCAATGAGGGAGCATGCCATGAGTACCCAGCCAGGGTCTGGGTGAGTACTTCTTCATGCAGCACTGTTGATTTGCATCTTTGTTGTTGTTTTGTTGTTGTTTTTGAGAAGATTCAGTCTCACTCTGTTGCCAGGCTGGAGTGCAGTGGCGTGATCTCGGCTCACTGCAACCTCCGCCTCCTGGGTTCAAGCAATTCTCCTGCCTCAGCCTGCTGAGTAGCTGGGACTACAGGCATGCGCCACCACGCCCAGCTATTTTTTTTTGTATTTTTAATAGAGACGGGGTTTCACCATGTTGGCCAGGATGGTCTCGATCTTTGACCTTGTGATCCACCCACCTCGGCCTCCCAAAGTGCTGGGATTACAGGCATAAGCCACCGCGCCCAGCCAATTTGTATCTTATGTAGCACATACTTCTAAAGAATCAGAGGTATTGCTCATGATAAGTCAACATTGATTCCGATGAAGCAAGATGTGTACGGGATAGTGAAGGATTTATGGTTAATTGCAGACAGATTTTATGTTTGGGTTTAATGCCATCTAGGTACTTTTCGTCAGTTTGAAAAACTATGTTGAATTGGTATTAAAAGCAAATTCAGCTTTTATAACTTTACATCACCTGGGGCTCTTTGGAAGTTTCCTTTAAAGTATTTTCTGCTTTGCCACCTCCTCTTAACTTTTAATAGCTGGTTTGGTTGTATTCTAGCATGCAATAAGTAATTTCCAAAGTCACATAAATAGCTAGAGAGTATCACATTATCTTCTCCATTAGAATCATATATCATGTTTTACTTCTTTATATCTACATACATAAGTTATTTCTTAATTTCTATATCAAAATTATCTATTGTTTTAGAATAATAAGAACAAATAACTTACTATAAATGTCAGTAATCCCTTATCGCTACACATTGGACTGTAGTTTAAGAATGTAATGATAAAACTAGAAAAATACTTAAAGCAACATAAACCCCTATGTGTGAATGCAAGGTGAAAAGATTTTCTTATATAAATATAATACTATAGTCTACTTGATAGACCTTCATTTATGAATGATAATTTAGTGATTATATCATATCCGTTTCCCCACAAGGGCTTTAAATTTAAATTAATGGTGTTCCAGGTACCCTGTGAGGCTGATTTTTGCTGCCATACCTTGACTTGCATTTTCTGCTGACATTGATACATTAGTTCTGTCTATCACTACCCTGACTTTCTTTTATACAAATAGCCCTGTCTTTAGATATACATGTGTAACAAAACAGCATTTCCTCATGGCTAATGCTGCCCCTGTTTCTTGCTATGAGTGATTGAGATGCTTTTGGGCAGATGTCTGCATAAACTAAAGTGCTGCACTATGAAACCTTACCAGTCATTCAGATTGATTATGCCGAAAGAACAAGTTGACACTAGGTAGGATAATAAGATGAGGGATGAAAATAATTTGTAAATTGGTTGGAAAAACTTGCAGAGTGTCATGAATTCTGTACTTCAGAAACATCAAAATGTTCAAATGCTCAGTGATGAATGTTTTTCTGTATAACACAGATGACTGTTGTATGGGTTTTATGAAATTCCTATTATATAATGGAGGAACACATTACCTTTGATTTCCATTTGTGGGTCCCAGCTCAGGGCTCTTGGTAAGGGTGTGTGATTTATACAAGAAACAGTATATAGAGACATCTGAAATCTCTTTTGACAAGAAACTTTTTGCAATGTTTAGTTTAGAAATGAACTTTAAAAGGTATATCAGCTTATGGAATACTAAGGGTTTTCTTTGAGTCACTGAAAAAGCTGCCCTGTATGATGATTGTCATCTGCAATACCTTAATAACCTGACCACACTTCCAGGATAGGGCGGTGGGTTAGGCTTTCTTATGCTACTCACAGCCCCTGGAGAGATGAGAAACACTTGGTAAGTATCCATCAGATAAACCCTAAAGATATCATAGTGAAAATGCCTAAGTGGCTAAAGAATAGTATTTCTCAAGCTATATTTTCCAGTGAGATTACTTGGTCTTCTTGGTAAAATGCAGACCCTCTGCTCCCACCCTCAGGGACTTATTCAGGAGGAACATACAGGTTGACAGCACCTGGCCCATACTTGAAGAAACCATATTAGAGACTTAAAGACATGGTCCGTGGTGTTTGCTGGGACCAAGAAGAGTACAGATAATTAGTTATGGGAGAGAAAGAGACACCAAAGGGGATGAAGTGCTTTTGATTTACATATTTTGACCCTGCTAATTGGAACCTAATTAGTACATTCCAAACACAGACATTAAGTATCTACTTGCAGTGATAAATCTTAGATGTATATGTCTTAATTGAAGCTAAACCTCTCTTCTTAAAGACAAGCATTAGATTTCCCTGATAAGGCAGTCTTAATCCATTGCTTGTCCTAAATGTGATCTATTAGATAAAGCAATGATACATATGAAAATTTAACAAAAGTGCATATTACCAGAGACACAAAGGAGATTATAATATAATAAACGTATTATGTAACAATTTCAGGATGTTAAATAAATGCAAAATGTAGCACACCCTTGGAAATGACAAATAACCATTATTAGAAAGAGCTCCTCTGAGGATATCATGAGAACTAAGGTAGCCAGGAAGGTGAGATGCACATGCTCCCTTCACTGTGCATTTAGTAAACATTCTCCAAGGCTGACTGTCTACACTCAAGACCAGACACCATGCCAGGAGCCAGTGAATGCACAGCCACTGATGGACAAGGACTTCACAAGCTCCTAGGTCTCCTAGATATGAGATTTGCCGAAATTCCTCATTGGCCGTATTACAAAATTGAAAGGCCGAGTACCAAAAGAGGTTAAGTAAAGTGATGTGGATGTTTACAGGATAAATCAATCTCTCTCGGTCTCCATTTCTCTCTGCCTCTCTCTCCCTGTCTCTGTTTGTCTTCTCTCTCTCTCTCTTTCTCTTTCTCTCAATCTCTCTCTTTGCAGATGTCACTTACAATTTCTGGTGACACAAGTTTGTACATATGTTCGTTGTAGTGCTGGGGAGTAGAGAAAGACAAACTGTATAAAACACAAGGAAATACCATGCTAAGACATTTAGGCACTAAATACATCAACATACCTTAAATTATAAATGTCTGGAAAGAGAATTCCTTATCGTAACAAAGCACCTTATCTTTAGGGTCTGGCATCTGAGTCTCTTAATTCTCTCTCCCTGTACAAACTCATAAAGAAAAGTTAGTAAAAAACTATACCACAGCTGACATAAACAAATATTGCATTATGCTCGTGGACTCTGTGGGTCAGGCATATAAGCAGAACATAGGAGCTGGCTTGCCTTTGTTGCAAAATTACTGGGTTATCATCTGGAACGACCTGTAGGTTGAGATAACTTGACCTCTGGGGACTGGTATGATCTGGGCGTCATCACAGTAGATGTTGGCTGTCTTCTGAGGCCTCAGCTGAGACTCTGGGCTGGCACACCTGCAGCGACCCTTCCATGTGGCTTGGGCTTCCTCACAACATGGTGGCTGACTTCCAAGTTGGGTCCTGTCAAGGAAACAAGGTGGAAGTGCATGACATGTTTATGACCTTAGCCTTCAAAGTCACATAGTGTCACTGTACCCTGTTGGTTGAGACACTCACAGTGTTCTGCCTGAGCTTGGGGAGAGACAACATTGTCCCTACCACTCAGTGGCGGAGTGTCAACCTGACATTGTGAGAAGAACATTCAAATGATAAATATGTGACAGCCATCTTTGGAAGATACAGTTGGCCATACTTTGGGTCTGGCATTTTAGTCATTTAATTCATTCTTTCTGATTAAAAGCCTTGAAATATATTACTTCAGAAGGTGAGAAATAAAACACAAAAGTCTCTTATGTCCTTTTCATAGGAAATAGGTCCATGAACTACGTCTCTAAACCATTCTGAACCTGGTTTATATAAACAGCTTAAGAAGTATGTCCCAAATGCTTGTCAGCCATTGGGTAAAATCAAACACGTACTTCTTTTATTTTATATACAGTCATGTTGCAAACAGAGAAGCAATCAACACCATTAATCCCTCAATATTTTCTTTAAGCCAGAGAAGCATCCTTACTGTTTCAAGTACTTCTTCACTGTTGCATCATGACAATAATGAGTTGAATGGCCCTGGTTCTCAGCACAGGTGCACTCAGCCCTAAGGCAAGCAAGAGGCCAGGAGGGTGCATTGTGAACGGCGCTCACCATAAGGAGACCATATGAGAGAGGGGGTCAGTCATGCAAATGTACTGATGTGAGTCAGCTGGGCCTCTTTTATGTTCCTCCAATTTTGAGAAGAATTGTCTCACTGTCTTTTCAACACTTTCTCTGGTTAGAACTGATTTCAGCACATTTGACAAATGTAGCAATGCTTTGTGAGGATACTATGTTATAATAATTAAACTAATAATTACAGGTGGTGTATTTAGCTACTTGCAAACTCACAGATGGCTAATATAGTTTTAAGGATCCCTGAAGAAAGTCATATATGTGACTAAGGTCTTGCAGAAAGAGTAAAGTAGAAAATTTAATTTCTGAATTAATTGCTTTATTCCTAAGAGACGTTGCCCTTGATAGCTCTGCATACTCTGGAGGATTTTCCAAGTTCATGGTTGACTCTATGGCTGTGTTTTTGGCTCTAGGACACTGTGACATTCTGTGAAATGTGTTCTAGACTGGGCTTGAATGCTTAAGTTTAGTACAAAGAATTATGCTGTTGATCTACTGCAGACACCTGAACCTAAGCTTGAAATGCAAATAATAGGTTTTCTGCAACGAATTACAAAGGCAAACAGAAGCCATCCCTATCCAGAGAATGAACTACACCTCACAGTTAAAACAGAAAACTGGAGAGGAGGTGATTTACTATGGCTACTCTTAATAGTGAAGACAGAATAATACTGTTTAATTTTATGAGAATCCACATTGGCAATTAAGAACTATAGGGCTGGCTCCATGGACAGTTGCAGGAAAGTCCACAGACTATCCCTGGCCCCTATAAACATGAGCCTAGGTGTTTGTTCTCCTCCCTACTGTTTCATTAAACTCTGATGGACACACACCCTTGCCCCCGATCTATTGATGGCTTATATACTGGGATAATGGGCAGAAGGGATATATACTCAGTAAGACCTCCCTTATGGATCAAAGCTTTGTCTACATACTACTGAGCTGTTGACTTTGAGGCTTTTATTACACTTTCAGAATATGAAAATGCATTTCTGTACAATCCATATCTGTGTGAGTTTAAAAAAATAATAAGGCAAAACTACAATTACTTCTGGCCACTGTCCTTGGGCATCTCAAGGCTATCAGATCTTTTACTGGAGAAGCAAGCTTGTTTTGTCTCCACCTGAATAATCCCTGGCTGGAAGAGAGCCAAAAGACCACATTTCAGCATTTCTACCCATTCTGTGCATCATGCACCAGTAATAAATGCCCAAGTAAACAAAGAGATGAAATAGCAATGCTATAGCCATAAAACCAATTCTATTGATTTTATTCCAGCAAATCTCATACCGTACTAAATTTCTCAGAAGCACGAAAATATCTAGGCCTTTATTGCTCACTTTAACTGGGCTCTTTGCATGCTCTTATTTTGTTTTAATAAATTATCTGAAAGGATTAAAATTAAAACATGATTCTTTTCCTAATGCTAAAAGCACTTCTGTGACACAATATGCTTAACACTGAAGAAACTCAATAAAACAAAATTATATCCCAGGATAGAAAGATTTAGAACATTAGCAAACTTCTTCATTTAGATGACTAATATGTTTTTCTCAATGGGATTTTGAGCATGTTTGTATCAGCACAGCCCAAATCTGAAAACTCTTACTATTTCTATTGAAAAAAAAAAATGTTGACAAGGAATATACTCTCTGAGTATGGGCCCATACCCAGTTGCACTTTTAAACACAGGAAGTTTGTGCTGGCAGCAGGATTTAATTGACTGAGCTGTGGTGGTGGCTGCACTTGTCATCTCTGCTTACTATGCTCTGTTTTTAAATATTTATTGACTTCACACACTCTGCACGATGGCTGCTCAGAGACCTTAGCCCTGACTGAAGAAGCCACTGCAGGGTGAGCAGGGGCAGAGAGCCACGCCTGTCGACGAGATGCTATTAACCAGTTTTTGCTCTGCCCCTGTCATGCCCTATCAGACCCTCTCTTATTTTGTATGTTCTGCATACTGTTCAGAAGATAACAGTTGGAAACAATATATGAAAAGGCTCTGAATGGAAATCCTTATAGGTAAGGATGTACGTCTCAGGGAAGGGTTCGGTGAATCACTCTGGGTTACACAGCTAGTTGGGGACAGGTGTAGGACACCTTCCACAACCTGTTACTATTAATACAATTTCCCCTGCACCATATTACATTATGAGCACAATTTCCTTCAGAGAGAAAAATATCAACATTCAATGTCTCATATTTCCACTTGATTGCCACTGATCTTATTGTAGTTCAGAGCCAATAGGAAATTAAGTGTTTTATCAAAAATAAATTTGAAACAGATAAATGTACTTTCTTTCCTACAGGGGCCAAATTTAGTATGAATTTTTTAAAAGTGCCCAGGATTCTAGAACAGCAATGGAACCATCAGTACAAATTGTAGGGGACCAGAACTAAAGGAGTCTGAAGATCCTAAACTCAAGATCCCAATCCTGTTTGGGTTGTGGCATTCAACTCCCAGGGTCCCACTGTGCTTAACCAATAGGGGCTATTTGTAAATGCATCCATGGCTTAGGAGGCTGCATCAAACACCACCCATCCATACAATGAGCCCTGTCACTGACGTTTCGCCTCCTCCACGCGTATGAACGCAGTGACTACTGTCACTGATACACCACCTCCTCCGCCACGCACGCACACGCAGTCACCACTCTCACTGACACGCCACCTCCTCCGCCACGCACGCACACGCAGTCACCACTGTCACTCATACGCCACCTCCTCCACCACGCATGCACACGCAGTCACCACTGTCACTAATACGCCGCCTCCTCCACCACGCACGCACACGCAGTGACCACTGTCACTGATACGCCACCTCCTCCGCCACGCACGCACACGCAGTCACCACTGTCACTCATACGCCACCTCCTCCGCCACGCACGCACACGCAGTCACCACTGTCACTGATACGCCACCTCCTCCGCCACGCACGCACACGCAGTCACCACTGTCACTGATACGCCACCTCCTCCGCCACGCACGCACACGCAGTCACCACTGTCACTGATACGCCGCCTCCTCCACCACGCACGCACACGCAGTCACCACTGTCACTGATACGCCGCCTCCTCCGCCACGCACGCACACGCAGTGACCACTGTCACTGATACGCCGCCTCCTCCGCCACGCACGCACACGCAGTCACCACTGTCACTGATACGCCGCCTCCTCCACCACGCATGCACACGCAGTCACCACTGTCACTGATACGCCACCTCCTCCGCCACGCACGCACACGCAGTGACCACTGTCACTGATACGCCACCTCCTCCGCCACGCATGCACACGCAGTCACCACTGTCACTGATACGCCGCCTCCTCCGCCACCTGCGCTGGCATGGCTGAGACAGCGGCCTTTTCTAACTTATTTCCCTTTTCAAGACTGTTTCTACTGGACATGTTGGCATGATTTCATCTGTATAATGACTTTGAAGAGGGCACAGTGCCATTATTCTGCTCTTAAACCCCGTGTCCATGCAATACAAAGTGATGGACACTTTATTGTGATTTCATTGATAAATTAAGGGAAGTTTTAATTAGGCAACAATGCCAAATGCACATATAGCTAGGACATTAACATCCATCTAACATAATATAAATTGAATGAAACTGCAAAATAGTTGAATGGGAATAAAACCAAATCAATCAAACTGCTTTATAGGATTATGCTCTATAAAAAATTTTAGTAAGAATTTTCATTTTATAAACGTTTAAGTTGAATGTTTTGAAATGATTGCTATAATGACTACAGTGATTTTCAGGAATTTGGAAATTCAGTAATGTTATCATTTATCCCAATGATTAAATGAGACCAATAATTCCAACTGATTTCCATGAGTTTACCTGAACATACCTTTGTCAAGTGCGTTTCAGATCATGGTTGACAAGTTGAATGGTATCTGTGGTTTAAGTTAAGCATCTACATCCCCAAATATCGGTTAGTATGTTTCCGTAATTCATTTTTTTTTTTTTTTGGCTATTTATTGAGGAAATTAGTCCTGAGATTATTCCGTAAGATTTTGAAACATCATCAGTCATATATTTTGCACAATTATAGTAGGAAGTAGAGTCAGAATACTTGGGTTTTAGTCACTGCTCTGCCAAATATTAACCATCTAATATTGGACCATTGGCTTCCCATCTTTGAATTTTTTTTTCTTATTGATAAAATGTCACAGAAACAAAATCTAACCAATTCTACTCACTCCTGGGTTGGCTATAAGGATAAATGATATGCAGGTTGGCAAGGACAGATTCTAGGTCTTACCCCTACTTCTGCTTCCAGTCTGGTTTTATTAGTCAGGATGATCTCCATTGTAATAGAATCCAACTAAAGTTAGCTTTAACAAAAAAGAGAATTATTTGTGCAGCTGAGTCATTTCGGGCAGCCTTGGCTGTTGGCCTGCCTGGGTGCATGTCCTCAAATGACGTCTCGAAGCTGTCTGTCTTCCCTTCACTCGGCTCTCATGCCATGTTTACTGCTCTCAAATAGACTCTCTCCCCAGGTGGTAGCAGAGATGAGCACAGGTAGTTCCCTATCTATATTTCCCTGGCTTAGCCAAAACCATATGTCCAAGCCAACAGACGCCATGAAGACATGAGAGATCTGAATGGCAGTGCCTAGGTCAGGCGCCCACACTTGGACCTGGGAGATGAGACAAGCCCACTTGAATCAAACGAACTAAGGGCAGGGAAAGATGTAGCTGCCGGAAGACATGCCAGGCAGGCGAAATCCACGTGTCTACCACCTCTTCCAGGGAGGACAGACAGAATCCAAATGTACTTTCTTCCCATTTATAAACCTTCAAAGACTATCCTTAACTAATATGCAACTCTCTCACATACAATAACAGCAAGATGAGTCATGTCTTTCAAAACTGACATGCATTTCCTAGCCTGATCCAGATACCATTTTTATGGATGATCAATCTGTAGATAAATGCCCTAACCTGAGTGAATCCCTAACTTTGCACCCAACAGTCTGGTTAGTTTGGGTCAGGGAATTTGGGTTTTCCAAATTTTAAGCCTCCTAATTAGCTGACTCCAAGCATCCCTCATTGCTCACAGCCAAGAGTTAGAACCCCTCTCAAAAAGACTATGCTTTTTCCCTCTGAGATTGGAGGTGAGCCACCTTGGAGGAAAGATTCTCCTTCCTGCGGGACCCTACCAGTTGTCACAAGAAGCAGCTACTGAAGTTAATAGTTTTTTACTTGCTCCTCTGGCATTGATGAACTGTGGCCCCCCCCACCAAGATATCTTAAGACAGGCTAAAAAAAATTCACATGTCAAACTGGCATATAACAGACATTCAATCAATGCTAATGAAATAAATAATACTGGAGAAAGTACTTTATGCCATGGAAGTAATTTTGTAAATGTCATTGTTGTTATTATTATGCCTAATATGAAAGTTTTTTTAAAAAAAATTTTACTTGTTTTAGTAGTAAAAAGTGGGTCGAGAGAGATTAATGAGAATAGATGGTATAAAACTCAAGATTCAGATAATTTTTGAGATGACACTGATGTCCCTCTCTATCTAATGCGTTAGCCAGGTTTAAGAACTGAATCATCTTAGCTATTGAGAGATAGTTATATGACATCTTTGGAATACCTAAATAAAGTAGATTGCAATATACACTTCTTAATATCTGTTCACTGGCCTATGTTTAAATGAATTTAACTTTTTGGTTAAAGATGTCCATTTAGAATATATTATTTTTCCGAGAGTAAACACTATTGAATTTGAGTTATCTAAATTTAGTAGCATAAAAAATGTTCTCCTAGCAATGTATATAGAAGAGGCTCACAAGTTAACCAACATCCTTCAGTTCCTCTGAAATACATCCCTAGTGATGTCCATAGCATGCTAAATATTTGAGACTAGAGAGCTTCAGCATTTCTCCTCCCTCCGGTTTAATTGTGTGTTTTAACAAGTCAGTTGTGTTCCTTTGCAGACCTGTTTTTACTAGTTGTGCTTAATATGGATTTCTTAATTTAATTAAAAAAATCAAGTAAGCCAGGAAACCATCAATGAAAAAAGAAGTGTTTCTACAAAAAACTAAGTTGAGTGATTTGCAAAGATTTAATAAAGCAGGCTTATTAGAAAACTATTGTTGAGCTATTTGCATGCAGAATTACTATAAAAATGAAAGAATCTAAAACTCGAAACCAATTCTGACTTCAGATTGCATTGTTACTGTCCTTATGTCCTAGTTTTACTTTAAAGAAATTGAAACCAGAAACTAGAAAGACTGATTTAAAAGAATGATGACTGGACACTCCAAGAAGTAGATCTATGCTTTAAAAAATAAAACAGGCTTTGATCTTCCATTAAAAGATTGCTATATAAGTGTATGTTTAAATGTTTTTAAAAATAATAAAACATGCATCAATTTTCTGATTAACCCACCACATTTACATCATAGTAAGGAGTTCCTTCTATCCTTGGCTCTGCCTCTCTTCTCACCAGAAATTCTTATTTTGGCTTTTCTTTTTTCCAACTTCTCCCAATTCCTCCACTGACTTTTTGTTGTTGTTATTGTTGTTGTAGTTTTTAAAATTTTTGTGGGTACTTAGTATGTGTATACCTCCACTGACTTCTTAGACCTCTCTGTTACACCTGACACCTTATTTTTTGTCTTTTTTTAAAAAGTGATTGACTAGTAACTCAGTTAAGACTCCTTTGATCTTCCTTTTGATTTCCAGAATGAAAGAGGATATTGTGTTCTTGTATACATCAGAAATTCTCTATTACAGTCCATAAATATCACAATAATTCTAGAAAGAGAACAAATTTTTAATTAAAATAAGCACTGTGATCATTTTTCTGTCACATACCAAAGAAATGCAATAAGCAAGGCATCAAATATCTATATCTAATTTACATTTGTATTAACTCAAGTTAAAGGTACACTTTATCATGAAAACTCTAAATCTATTTTTTAATTTGATGACTTTATATTCCATATTGATTACATTTATGGACAAAACTAATTCCCTGATAGATGGAAATACTAAAACAAAAGGAACAGACAGCTAAATGACTTCTAGGTAGATTTTCAAATCAGCTTGGAAAGATTTTTTCTTTTTATTATTTTAAATAAGACAGACCCTTTGCTTTCTAATCCATTTCATAAGATAATTTAATCTACAGTAGTGGGGGAAAATCCTTATTATTTTGTGGCAGCCAGACATTCATAAATTAAACTTCTTTCTTAGAGAATTGCTTCCCCACACTGGAGGGGAAAAGAAGTATGTAAACTCTTTACACTAGCAGAAACTTCAACATTGTTGGGAAATGTTTGGTAATGAGCTTGGTTCATTGGTAGGTGGCCTGCCTTTTAATGTTGTCTGCAAGGGAATTTACAGGAATGGTACTACCCAGCCCATCAGGATGGTGTATGGCACAGAAGCTTTAAGCGCCACAGGGCACTTTGCCTTTGTTACACTCCTTTTTGCCTGGGGCTGTGAAAGTATTCTGAATATGATGCAAAATATCAGATGAAGAGTTTGAGTTCCTCATCCTATACTGCCCAATGGGTTCTCCTTGCCCATTGCCTAGACAGAGCCGATTTATCAAGGCTGGGGAATTGCAATAGAGAAAGAGTTTCATTCACACAGATCTGGCTGTACGGGAGACCAGAGTTTTATTATTACTCTGTCAGTCTCCCAGAAAACTCGGGGATGGGACTTTTAAGGATAATTTGGTAGGTAAGAAGTTGAAAAGTGGGGAGCTGATTGGTTTGGTCAGAAATGAAATCATAGGGAGAAATGAAATCAAAGCTGCCCTCTTGTGCTGAGTCATTTTCTGACCAGATGAGCCACTTTATCCATCTGGGTGGTCCCAACTGATCCATTGAATGCAGGGTCAGCAAAATCTCTCAAGCACAGATTTTAGGTTTTACAATAATGATGTTATACCCAGGAGCAATTTCAGAAGGTTGAGAATTTTGCAGCCTCCAGCTGCATGACTCCTAAACCATCATTTCTAACCTTGTAGCTAATTTATTGTGTCCTGCAAAAGCAGTCTAGTCCCTAGGCAGGAAGGGGGTTTGTTTTGGAAAAGGGCTGTTACCGTCTTTGTTTCAAAGTTATTTTATCAACTAAGTTTCTCCCAAAGTCAGTTTGTCCTATGCCCGGGAATGAACAATGATAGCTTGGAGATGAGAAGGAAGATGGAGTTGGTTTGGTCAGATCTCTTTCACTATAATAATTTTCTCAGTTATACTTTCGCAAAGGTGGCTTCATTCCTGCAGGGAGCCGGCTTTCCAGCCTTCTTGCTGAGCTCAGGGCTTCGAAAGATCACTGGACGTACCCTTCCTATAAAGTTAATTTATTCAGCACAGCACCCTTTAAACTTTATTTCCATCCCTCAGAAATATAATTGTTAGCTTTTTTTCTCCAGTTGATCACACTAACCTGAGAAAACTGTGTAAAATACAGCAATTCTGTGTTAGTTCTGGGGAGGATGTGGCTGTTGCTGTTGGTGCCACCAGCCTGAATAGTTTCCCTTCACTTGGTGTCTTTCCTTTCCTGAAAGAAACCTCGGTGGTAAAGGCCGTGGCTGAGTCTGTCAACTCAAGCCTGGTCAAAAAATAGGATGTCGACCACTGCTGCCAGAGTCCCAGTGGGATATACTCCCTTTTTATTCTCAAGCTGAAGAGGTAACCTATTATGTAGGCCAATATTTTGTATTCCATATCTCGTTGTCTCTTGTTTCATACCAGTTGAGACTAATTGACACTAATAATCACATCTGTCTGTGCGACACAGCTAAGCATAAGCAGCTGCCCAGGTGCCCATATGTGCTCCAAGACTACCCCAGTGAGTGCCTTCCAGACCACATAAAACTAAAATGCTCCATAAAGTTTTGGAATTTTCACTTTATCTGTATATGTTTTAGAAGCTAATGAAAAGCAAGTTTTTAAGACGTATAATAGCTTCTTTCATTATGTGAAACAAGTCTTGCTGATTTTAGGAGTAAAACTACAACCAGAAAACTGGGGGTGGAAGAGAAGAAAAAGTATTTTCATATGAATGAGGAAAGTGAGGCTTTTGCATAATTTTAATGGAAAAAGGATTAAGTGGTTGGAAATAAACAAAAAGTGTGAAAGAAGAATAAAATACATACAGTGCTGGTTAGCCTAAGCACAAGACCACTGCAGTCCCCAGGAGACGTTAAAAGAGCTCTGGTTCTTGAAGGACTCAAGCCCCCTGGGGACTTGCCAACAGTTTTGAATGAAATCTCTCTGGAGCCCCTAGTCATCTGGGAAAGAATTTTACTAGAAGCAGCCTCATGGTATTCTGAGTAGCACAGTCAGCAGTCCCCCACAGAGCAGAATTTGATGGGGTGGTAGGCATTGCGCCTTGTGCAAAAATATCAACTGCTTTGTGTTACAGGATGAGGGAATCCAATAAATAGCCCCTCCTCCTTGCCTGAGTTCTGAACCAACTGAGACAGAGTTGACTGTGACTAAAAAGACTAATAATGGAGAATGTGGCAAAGATACACAGAGGGTTGGTGCTGGCTCTCACTCTAGTCCTGTGCAGGGCAGACACCTGAGGCCTCCCTCTCCATGGGGCTGGATCGGGGCTGGGCTGTCTCTAGCAAACATATTTCCCGGAGGTGCAGTCCAGGCAGCGTACAGTGCAGGCAAACAGGGTTGAGGAGGTGGGAGGACCAGGGCTGAGCATTACCACCAGGTTTAGCTCCCAAATTTCAAACACTCCTTTTTCCTTTCCTGGGGAAGAGGGAGTGAGGAGTACAGGCGAGGCCAGGAGTGTTTCTGCTACCTGGTGACCCTCCATGGGGAAAGATGAAGCCAGAAAAGAGAGTGTGCCGACGTTGCGCTAACAATTGCTTTTCAAGATGTGAACGTACTCGATCCTGTATGGTCATTGGACTGATCCCCAATGGTCATTTGACCACAGCAGAGTCTAGAAGGAGCTCTGCACTTGGAGACTAGGTCTATTTGTCCATTCTCACACTGCTAATAAAGTTGTACCTGAGACTGGCTAATTTATAAAGGAAAGAGCTTTAATTGACTCAAAGTTCCACAGGGCTGGAGAGACCTCAGGAAACTTACACTTATGGCGGAAGGGAAAGCAAACATGTCCTTCTTCACATGGCGGCAGCAAGGAGAAGTGCCGAGCAAAAGGGGGAAAAACCGTCAGATCGGCTGGGCACAGTGGTTCACGCCTGTAATCCCAGCACTTTGGGAGACTGAGGCAGGTGGATTACCTGAGGTCAGGAGTTTGAGACCAGCGCAGCCAACATGGTGAAACCCCGTCTGTACTAAAAATACAGAAATTAGCTAGGTATGGTGGCACACGCCTGTAATCCCAGCTTCTCAGGAGGCTGAGGCAGGAGAATTGCATGAGCCCGGGAGGTGGAGGTTGCAGTAAGCCGAGATCGTGCCACTGCACTCCAGCCTGGCTGAAAGAGTGAGAGTCTGTCTCAAAAAAAAAAAAAAAAAAAAATCAGATCTCGTGAGAACTCACTCACTATTACAAAAACAGCATGAGGGTAACTGCCCCCATGGTTAAATTACCTCCCACTGGGTCCCTCCCACAACACATGGGGATTATGGGAACTACAATTCAAGATGAGATTTGAGTGGGGACATAGTCAAACCATATTACTAGGGATTTCTAGTCCCAGCTGTAGGACTTCCTGGCATTTGACCTCTGCCAAGTCATTCTCTGAGCCTCTGTCTCATTTGTAAATCAGGGATAAATAATGCCTTCATAGATGGACAAGATTGTTTAAGAAAATCAGCAGTGTGGCCGGACACGATGGCTCACACCTGTAATCCTAGCACTTTGGGACGCCGAGGCAGGAAGATTGCCTGAGCTGAGGAGTTCGAGACTACCCTGGGCAACATGGTGAAACCCCATCTCTACTGAAACACAAAAAAATTTAGCCTGGCATGGTGGCATGTGCCTGTAGTCCCAGCTACTCAGGAGGCTGAGGCACGAGAATGGCTTCAACCCAGCAGGTGGAGGTTGCAGTGAGCTGAGATCGTGCCACTGCACTCCAGCCTGGGCAAAAGAGAGAGATTCAGTCTCGAAAAAAAAAAACCAGGGGTGAATATCACTGCAGACTGCAAGGCTCTGTGCAAAGGTAAAGTTTTGTAATTATTATCTGTGATGGTGGGAGGCATTGTTTGTCCTTGGACTGAAAAAAAATACCCTGGCCCAATAAGGGGATAGAAAAATAAAAGCAAGCACAAGAGAAAAAAGTTTAAGACTGTATGGAAAGCCAACTCTACCTCTAGCTATTTTGACAGGAAACCTGGGATCAAGACCTTTGCCCCAGTCACACTTGGGATCAGTCACCTTGGATTGGGCCACCTCCCCTCTGGGAGCACGCCCAAATTTTGCCTCTAGGTCAACAGCTATTTGCTCTCAAGTAAGGGAAGCAGAAAAACTGTATCCTAAACAGAATTGGGGCCAATCCAAAGAACTTAACTTTTTACCAACCTGTAAGTTTTTTTTTTTTTTTTTAAGGATAAAAGGCAAATGAGTCTATTTTTTAGTTTCATCTCAAGATAAGCTCTACTACCTGAAGAGGTGCTTTTAAGCAATTCTTTAGAGTTGACAACAGGCCTGGGAACGCAGAGGAGAAAAGGCTACCTTGTTCTGTAGAAACACGAAAGGCAGGTCGTGCTGCAGCCTCCAAGGGAGCAGTAAGCTGGGCTTTGTTCTTTTATTCTGGGTAAGAAGTTAGAGGGCCAGAGACATTAAATTATGTAGATATTTTCATTTCTTTTTCTTTCCCTCCTTTTTTTTTTTGCCACAGGAATAAAAAGTTTTTGTTCTTACACAATTTTGTTCTTGACAGTTTAATCAATAAAATGTATGGCAGCCATATGACATTTATTTATGGTAATGAAATGGATTCCCATGATGTAACCTCCTTGCCTGCCAGGCGTTAATGGACTCCCAAGTCACACCTAGTACATTTAAGTGGCGGTGCAGAAGCATGGTGTCACCAAGGTGAAGGGACCCTCAGAAGCATTTCCTACATGCATGAATACCTTAGAAAAACCTCAGATCCTCAGCAGACACACTTCCAATTTCAGCATGATTTAGCGGTTTATAAAAACATCTTACCTCTTCCACCAACAGGGATTTACTTTAAGCTTCATTTCAAGCCTTTTATGAGGTCGTGCTCCATCAGCCTCTCAGAGCTGCAGTGGCTGATACATTCTGATGAGGCATTTTATGTGATGGCGTGGCACTTTTGGTAACAGGTGTTCTTTTTCTGCAAAACTTCATCTAAAATGAACATGAACAGACCTGAGCGCTCAGGCAGTTCTCCAGTGTGCTTACAGCTGTTGACGTGCGGCCGGTCATCCCTCCTCCTGCCTTTCTGTAGGTCGGACTGAAGCTCTGAAACAGCCTGTAAACATCCTGTGTGGACCACAGGCCTGTATTTCTGTTGGGCCTCCTGTTTAATCTCGACTTTGTATTTTTTTTATATATACATAGAGACAGGGTCTGGCTATGTTTCCCTGGCTGGTCTTGAACTCCTGCCTCAAGCGATCATCCTGCCTCAGCCTCCCACAGTGGCTTTGTGAGTTTGCTCTTTGGCATTTCCATCCTTCCCATGGGCATTCCGAAACAGGAGCAAGTGGCTCTTTCGTTGCAAATAGTTAAGTCAGGGGAACTCTGTATCAAAGGGGCACTCCCGCATGTGCATTAAGGACCACGCTCCCTGCTTTCACTCACAGCAGCCCCCATGCCATGACTGTTCACCAGCAGCTGCAGCAGCAGCCTGAAAGACAGGGGATTATATCCACAGAGGTCCGGCCCAGTGTCTCCGGAATGGACAGCCCCCTTGCGAGAGGTGGCAGGGAGAGCCTTGCCCGCTGCTCCTGCCCTCTGGCCCCTGCCAGCCCTTTCTCTGAGCCTCCTGCCCACAAATCAGGGCTGGGAGACAAATATGCACATCCTGCACAGAGCTGTGGATAGAGCAGGGGCAGTGGACATGCGGCTCCCCTAGGCTGTCCTGTGCTGACATAGTGAGTGCTGTCATGTGCCCAGCACATCACATGCCCAGCACAGTGCCTTGTCAGGGTGGCCTTGTCTCTAGCTCTGTGCTGCCCTCAGCACAACGGCCTGCTCATAGTGCCTGGGAGACTCGAGATGGGAGACTCATGTTTCGGGGGCACCAGGATGGAGAGGACTGAAGGAGGTTGCAGGGTGTCAGGGTTGAGGACACAGCCCTGGGGCATGTGTGGATGAAGGGGCACCTGTCTTCACATTCAGCCCTTGGTGGGCTCTTACAAGCACTTCCCCTCCTGCAAAAATTTGATGAAATATCAAAAAAGCCTGGACACATTTACTTTATTTTTAATTAGAGCTCTTTCAGGATTGTCTAGGGAAGTGCGTTAGTTACTTAAAGTTCTGAGATTTCCTTGATCATTAATCCCCCACCAATTCAACGGCCCCCAAGCTCTTCACCTACCTGGGACTCTGGAACTCTCCACTTTTCACTGAGTCACTGCCTCTGCAGCTGTCAACCTCCTTCCACCGGGCCCCTCCTCCAGGAAAAAAAGCAGCAAAATAAAACCCAATGAAGATAGCTTTGCATAAAATCCGGGATTCTTTCAATGTAGTGCGTCTGATGATGCTCAGATAGAGTTGTATGGCAAATTATTGAAAAATGCCTGCACACCGATGTCCTTGTAATAGAGATTGCCTCTCACATGAATGGGGGCTGAGGAAGGCACCTGAGAGAGGATTCGGGTTTATTAGGATTTGTTGTAATCAGACTAGCAAAGCATTTTCACTGTGGGCCATCTGTCAGCACATGTAAATAGGCTCATTTTATAAGACCAGATGTTCTAACAGTATTCATTTGAACAGGAGTCTACCTGTTCTTTGATTATAGTCAGTTATGTAGAGAAGCGATTCTACTATATTCCAAAATGATTTCTCTTTGGCTTTTAAATTTTTCTGGTTGATGTTTTTTGTTTGTTTGCACCTTATTTACAGCATAAGGAACAGAGATCTGGATTAGAAACCAGAAATCTACTCTTTTTTCTACTTCACCACTAAGGAATTTGGGGTTTGGTAAATTATCAACTATCACTGGCCATGGTATCTCCAATAAGGAGGTCAGACAAAATGATTCCCAAGGATTCTGCCAGCTCCTAAGTCTCCCGTTTTAATTACGGCCCTGAGGAAGGAGCATCGGCCTCACCGTCTGCCCGCTTCAACATCACTGTCCTGGCCTCGGGTTCTTTGGGGTGAGAACAGGGATGCTATGCGAAGCCCACAGCTTGCTCTAGGGAGAAGACATACAGAAGTTCTGAGGAAATGCCACACTCAGCAGATCCTTAACTCTTCTCTTCCTTTCTCTCAATTGTGAAAAAGTATTTTAAAAGGGAAAGTACTCGCATTTGTTGATTAGTTGGACTTTTTTGAGTTCTTATGACCTGCTTGAAGCCTACTAATGTGGAGGGCAGCCTATGATGAACAAATTCGAAATTGGTGAGGCCCAAGACAGAGCATCTCCAGGTAAATTCCACGGCTCTTCTCTCCTGGGAAGACCAACCCCAAAGGATGGCGAGCCCACCTCAACTTCCATCCTCGTGTCCAGGTGATCCCCAGCTCTCCTTGAGTCCTCGTGCCTGTTCTTGGGGTGAGTTGAGTAGAAAGTAAGAGTGCTATTGAACAGTTAGGCTTTGGAAACACCCTAGTGCTTACTAGCTGTGTGACCTGCAGCAAGTTGCTTAGCTTTCCTAAGAACACACTTTCTTGTCTGTAAGATGGAGATACTTGTGGGGATTACATGAGTTGCCACAGGTCAGTGCTGAGCCCATTCTACTGTATACAGGAGGCTCAGAGCACCGTCTGCCTATGGAAAGGTCCCACTCAGCCTGAGAAGGCCCTCCCGCTGCCCTGCTACAGGCCTTCAGGGGGACTGAGCCCATCTGCGGGGACGCTCACCAGGGGTGTCTACTATTCTTTTTATTCAGCTCATCCAGACCTTGTGGTTACAGGCCGACAAGGGGATGTGCTTTCTGTCTCTGACAACACTGCCTTGCCACAGGCATCCGTTTCTCCGTTCTGACTCACCTATGGGACAGAACCCATTCCCATCAGTAACGATAACTCACTTACAGTCTTAGGAGTCCCAAAAAGTTGCTTGGGTTTTAGGGGGTGGGGGATGTGTGTGTGTGTGTGTGTGTGTGTGTGTGTGTGTGTGTGTTTAAGTTTTCCATTTGGTTAAAGCCCCCTCCTCATGTGACGTACACACAGACACATTTTTAGCACCCAGCTTTAGCCCATAATCATTTTAATTCGTCTGACAGGAGACATTTTGGACAGAGGCCCCTCCCATTCTCATACTGTATGAGCAGCTGCCTGGCACCTGCATCTTGTCCCCTGTTAGAAAAATCGAGTGGAATGATTCTGTCAACTAGATGGTGTCACATATGCAGGACACTGAGTGCTTTAATTAAATTATGACAGTTTCAGGAAACCAAAAACAACTCTGAAGTGGCAAGAAAGCACTTTTCTTTCCTTAGAAGATTCATGGGCAACAGAGGAGAGCAGTGCTCCTGGCCTTGCAATATCTCAGTTTCTTTTAACTGTGCCAGCTATCTTATTCCACCAGGAATATTTAATATCCACAGTATGATGTGGCTTTTACAAAATCCTCGTGATATTCTTTGAAACTGTCTACAGTGTCTGTTTAAAAGTCAATAATGTTAATTTGTTTGATAAATTTCTACAGATCCCAACCCTATTAAGCTGTTAACTGAATGCTCCTGACTTTTAACGGATGTCTTAAGGATTCAATGTTGCTAAGGGGAATATAGTATGAAGTGAAGTAGACTCTTTGGAACATTGTATGTTTAGGCATAACATCCTCAATTGGAAGGAATATAAAAACACAGTATGACAAACTGGAATCATGAGGGTAGACTTGCAATGTATTCAGCAGAGAAATTTATTTGGCAATCAGAAAACAAAGAAAACCAACTAAATTATCTCCTTTGGGAGTGTATGTGTATGTGTGTGCAGTCAGACATGCACACAAATACACATGCATTTTTTCTGAAAGGTATTTCATACCTTTACATTTTCCGGGACAAATATTTCTGTTTTAATTTTTATTGTGCCAAATGAATACAGTATTGTTTGTACAGCAAAGCCTGGAATAGAAATTTAATTAGATAATCATAGGTCTAACAGAGAGAGACAATGATCTGCAAAGCTTCTGATATGGTTTGACTGTGTCCCCACCCAAATCTCATCTTGAATTGTACTTCCCATTATCCCCATGTGTCATGGGAGGGACCTAGTGGGAGGTAATTGAATCATGGGAGTGTTTACTTCCATGCTATTCTCATGATAGTGAGTGAGTTCTCACGAGATTTGGTTTTATAAGGGGTATCCCCCACCTTTGCTCTGTACTTCTCCTTGCTGCCTCCGTGTGAAGAAGGACATGTTTGCTTTCCCTTCTGCCATGATTGTAAGTTTCCTGAGGCCTCCCCAGAGCTGTGGAACTGTGAATAAATTAAATCTCTTTCCTTTATAAATTACCCAGTCTTGAGCATGTCTTTATTAGCAGTGTGAGAATGGACTAATACAGTTTCCAATGGTTTATAGAATATTTAGAAACAGATACATTTTTCAGACAACTGGATTTATTTTGACTTCTATTATTTCAAAATGTGACTAAAAACAAAAGTGAAACTACTTTTTTCTAATTTCATATTAAAGAAAAACAGCAAGATCAAATGAATCAAGATGCAATTTCACCCAAATGTCATATTAAGTAAAAGACTAGATAACGTTTTGCCATTTACACTATAGTTACAGATATTTTATAAGATGCTCACAGATGCCTGTGTCTGCCTGGGTTGCCATTTATGGGGTTTTTTTTCTCATGTAAATCCTAGAATAACCCTTGCAATTAAGGACGATTCTTACCACAGCTTTTGTAACCTTAGGCCCCATCTATGCTAATGAACAAAAATGTGTGACGCTGTGACTATCATTAAAACTAAAAAGAAAATTTGAAAAAAATAAATAAGACCTCTCTGCCATGTTGAGCCATGACTCATCAGTTCCACTGGAAAGTCTCTTTTAATTGGAAACAGGAGCTGCTCTCTGACATTGGTGCACAGTCTTGGTTTGGCTTATTTTAATGCACTTTGAATGCTGAAGCTATCAATTTGTACAGACCATTTTAATGTACTGCTGGGGGGAAAAGAACTCAACAAGAAATAGTTAACGACTTACACATTTTTTTATTAGTTTTTCTTCCCAGATACTTTCTACAGTCCTAAATGGGATAAATTGGGTAAGAATGCATGTCAGGATATGTTTTTATTTCAGTGGCTGTGTTTAGCTATGGCAAATTTCCAATGAATAAAAAGCCCTGAGGAATGTGTGTGTGTGGGGTGTGTGTGTGTGTGTGTGTGTTTGTCTGGGTGTGTGCGTACCCCTAGCAACTGCATATAGAAAATGAAATAGAAATGTAAGAAGAGGAGGATATTCCTCTAACTACAGATAGCAAGACATTTCAAAAAGCGTTTTTATCTCCCCATTGAATGAAAACTGTCCAATAAATTCCTCATAGCCTGAAGTCATCCTCATATTATGATGGATACATTTTTAAATAAATAAGATGCCTTATGCCATAGGCAATTATTTTTCCAGATTATTTTATTTTCTATTTACACTCATTGCTTTTGAGGGCCTGTGATATTTGTGCCATGGATTTGTTGCACCTGTCACTTGACACTTTGCATAAAACACGTGGCAAAGCTACTCTTCTCCTGTCTTGTCTCTTACCAGTCTGACTGAGCTACTTGTGAGTCTTGCATGATTTACTGGTACTCTAGTGTATTTCGGGTCTTGTAGAGCTTATTGGTACTCTAGTGCTTTGCAGATGTTAAATGCTTGGTAAAGAATTTGTTTCCTTTACAACCATCAGAAAACTGTTTCTCAGAAAAAATTCTATCTATGGAATCCCACAATGTTGAAGGCTTTCAGTAAGCACTAGCTCATGCATGGCACATGGTGGGCACTCCTGTCTGCTACGGCAGAGTTATTCTGATGTACTCACCCCCAATCAACCATTGCTGGGCTCCCACCCTCTCTTCCTCTTCCATGGCTGTGGCTGGGAGCACAAAGTTCCAAGAGGGTAGCAGGAGCAGCCTGCCTAGAAAGCGTGGCCCCACCCTTCTGGGGTAGTGCTGCCCGCAAACACCCCTGGGGATGCAAACAGCCCTTAAAGGATTGTTTTTGTCTGTATCCTATTTTATCTGTGACTAACATTTTGGAAGAAAACCGTTTTTGTATTTAGACACTCGAACTTCCTGTGTCATGTGGTTCTTTCCCAAGTGGTTGACTGTCACTGTGTGGTCTTTTACAAGCCCTTTGCTGGCAGAGAACCACGTGTCTTTTTTGATTCATCACTGCTTCTCTTCCTGAGTGCCTAGTCTAGGGCCCTAGACATGGTGGGGGACAAACATCTTCACTGATGATGATGATGACAAGAGAAAACCGTGGATGCCTGCGGAGAGGGTATCCAGAGAGCGCCATAACTTAAAGATGATGAATTTGTGAAAGTTTGAATTTGACTCTGGTAAATGGCAACACACTGGTACTTCTGAAACTGCTTTAAAAGACATCTTAAAACAATGTAATTCTTGGAAGTACAGGAAGATTTAAGATACTCTCTGCTTTTGGAAACTCATTAAATTAAATAAATTTGGTTTATTTAATTTCAGTTCTGAAATTCTATTATGATGACAGTATAAACTATGTCAATGGTAACTTCCATTTATTGGGGACATACCGTGTGTGTCACCCAAGTGCCAGTTACTTCAAAGCATCTCATCTACGGCTCTACAGGGAAGCTGAGCCTCAGAGAGTTGCGCTGATTGGCCACGTTTTCAAACTAGGGAGTTATTGGTGGGTGCTCGGCAGTTCCTTGGGTAGATGGTAGGTGTTGTCAGACCTTCAAAGCTCAATTTTTCAGACCCTAAAGGCTCTGCTTTCATATTATATTATGAGTTTCCCAAGGAAGAGTGGGACTTACTCTAGTACACAGTAAAAACCTATGCCTTTTCAGGGTGAAATTCAATCAAATTGAAAATTGAAAAGGCTTCTGTTATTATGATACCGTGGGTGTGTAAGCACAATGAACGCTATGTGAGCTCATTGACACAGCTCAACTCAGGGTGCACCAAAGCTTGTGAACTCCTTCAGTGAAAAACCTGAAAGCATTTCACAAACCCTTAAGCTAGAGACTCAGACCTGGCGCTATTGTCACAGAGTGGAAGCAGAGTGCCTTTGAAAGGGCTTGTCAACAAAGCTTTTATCAGCATTAGCAAATCACAAAGATGTGGGTCACTAGGTAACCACTATCGCCCCAAGATTTTAGGTCTGCTCCACTCACATTAACTGGATTCTTCAGCACGAGCTTATGTGCAGCATCTTCCTGAAGATCAAATTGGCATTTGCTAGGTGGGTGGGGAAGGAGGCAGGCAGAGCGAGAGTGCGGAGGATGGTTGGGTGAGAATACCAGGATGGAAAACATTAAAAAAGCGTCCGTGGTTCAGGGCCAGCCTGGGAAGGGCAAGACAGGAGGTGGGAGGTTGGCAGAGTCATGTATAGGGTGCCTTTTGTGACCACTGGATAATCTGACTTCACGGGTCAAGTAGTGGAGGTTTTAAGCAGAAGGGCTAAATGTGGATGCCTGTTAAACGGTGACTGATGGAATGTGGAGCCTGGGTTGGGAGAGGTGAGGTGAAAGGGAGGGGTGATTGGGCAGCAACTGCCGGGGTGCAGGGGAGAGGCTTGTAGTGCGGCTTCTGAAATCGCTCCTGACTGCACCCTAACCGATGTCAGTACCTCCTCCCTTGCTTCTCAGTTAGATTCTGCTGGCTGAGAGCGTTGCCCTAAACTTCTCCTGGATCCACATCACCCTGTTCATGTCTACAGGAGTCATTTTTCTGAAACACCAGTCTGATCAGGTCCCATTTTTGAGCAAACGCCTTCAAGGAGTCTGTCCTGCTTCCTGAACAAAGCCCAGATGCATGAGCATCCCTAGCCTGCCTTCCCCACCTCTTCCATCATCCCTTGATCCAGTCCATGCTCCACGAAGACGCCATTCCTCGGTGCTGGTTTTCCTCAGTGCCTAGTGTCTTCCAGCTCTGTGTCTGCCTTCTGCACTCCTTTGCCTGCCCATTATGTTTCAGCTCCCACTTACAAGATATCAATTATTGAAGATTTCCCGTAACTATAAATTACTTAATTAAAGCTGTGTGTCCTGCGAATGGTTCTCTTCATTGCCTGCTCAGCACTCTGGTTATCTGCATGCATGGTACACTCTCATTGGCTTCCTGCCTCAAGGGCCTGCCTATTACGCGCCTCTACATCCCCACAGGGCCAAATGTAGCCCTGCGCGATTCTGTCTGTTGAATGAATGAGTGAATGCATTAATTAACAATGAACGGTACTGCAGTAAGAGCTGGCGCAGCTCTGGAGATGTCAGACCCCCTCTTCTAAGTGCTATGTCTCTACTTCTCTACAAAGGCTGGCTTGTGGCCTTCTTGGCTAGTTGGAATTTAATCCTTTCACTAGCAAATATTCAAGCACTAAATGTTTACCCACTGCTATGAACTGAAGGTTTGTGTCCCTCCAAAATGTATATGGTGAACTCCTAACCCTCAAGGTGATGGTATTAGGAGATGGGACTTTTGGGAAGTGATTAGGTCATGAGGGTAGAGATCTCAGGAATGGGATTAGTGTTCTTATAAAAGGGAACTCAGAGAGCCCTCTCATCCCTTCTGCCGTGTGAAGACACAGCAAGAAGACAGCACTCATCAGACACAGACTCCACCATCACCTTGATCTTGGCCTTGCAACCTCCAGACTTGGAGAAATAAATTTCCGTGGCTTATAAGCCATCCAGTCTATAGTATCTTGTTACAGCAGGATGAGCAGACTAAGACACTCATTTCTTCAAACCAAATTAATTGAACAGCCAAATTATTACACTCTTTATTGGACTAAAATCATGTAAATGACATTGATTTTTTAATCTAGTTTTTCTATAGAATAAGAAAAAGGAGAGCAATAAATCAATATTTAGAAGTATTGTATACTTCCATTTTCCAACATTACTCTAATTGACATGATACATGACACCATCATGTTTGTTTGTTTAATTATCAGTTTGTTTTGGCTAATACCGATTTTGCAGCTGCCCACAAAGCAAATACCCACAAGCCAAAAAATAAAAAATAAAAAAGGAAGTGTAAATTCTCAGAGACATTTTAGGGCATCATAAACCCATGAAACACAATTTATTCCTAAGTGAAGTTTTTAATTGAAAACCTCCATCTTTGTATCATTACTGAATGAAGGGCAAGGTGATGTAGCAGAAATACACTGAGAGTTATCCTAGTCACCCTGGTGCATTGGAAGCAGTCATAGAACAGGCTCATCTCTGCACCAATGGGGTCCACACAAAAGATGTGGCCATTTGCTCCCTGAATTGGGGATCAAACATATCAACAGCTAAAGACATGAAACACCACTCATTCTCCCCAAAGAGCAGCACGTCTTTTGGTGTGGGTTCCACCCATCTTTCCTAGAACTCTCCGCCACAAATAAAGACCTTTGGAGGTCTTCTCAGTGTTTGTAACTGACTGTCTGGCGATGGGCTTTATGAAAGCATTTGATGACACTTGCTACACTCCTCTTGTTCTTTATAGTAAACACTGTTTTTAATCCATTTTAAGTAGCATGTAAAGTCCAAGGCTGTACATCACATGACACAGTGATGTGTGTACCATATTCCATGGTGTTCTCTTTCTGGTAAAGTAGGTAGAGTTCTTTCAGAAAATAATACGTACTTTAGTTGCCCTTTGATTCAGAAAACTGAAACTTTGCTGAATTATTTATCAAAAAAGTATAACTTTATTAGATCACATAATAGTAGATCCTATTTCATTATTGGTAAGATCATCTTAGCATGACTGATAAGGCAGTCGGGGCCCTCTGTTTCCTAGGCTTTTCTCCGATGCTGTACCTCCTTCAGCAGAATGCCTTGAGAAAATGCATATTGTGGTGTGTAGGAGATTGGTCAGGGTGGTGGGAACAATTGTAGAAAGATGCAAACCTTGGAAGGCCAGGGGTTTGCAAAGCTTCTAAAGAAAATTTGGCTGAAGGCAGCTGAATTCTCTTAAGAGCTTAGGTTAGGTAACAAGGGGATGTAAAGAAACTGATCTAGATAAGTGAGTTTACTTAGGCCCCAGAACCTGGCCTTTAATCGTCTGCGAGCAGGACTGCTCTGGGTGGTGGGGGGAGGGTGACCATGTTAATTATCCACAAGTGTGTTGACTCAAAGCCTTTGTCATTAAATTTGTGCTGAATAAATGCCTGCGGCACCAGCCAGCCGTGGCTGCTGACTCTTTACAGTACCCTCCTTGGGGTCTGTAAGCGGCCCGGTTCCCTAACCCACTCTTTCACTAGATATCTGTGTCTGAGTGCATTTGTTCATCCATCATTTGGCCAGGGTCTGCGGGTCTGACCCAAGAGTGGTGGGAGCAGAGCCTAGGCTGGCAAAGCTGTAAATATCAGTGGATGCAGCCAGAGTTTGGCTTCTCAGCTTTGCCGGCATCCTCCAGACACGCTCCGTGTTCTTTCAGTCTGGCAACCACATGTGCCCTAGGACTCTGAGGTCAGCAAGCACCCAGTTGAAAGGAAAAAATATCAGTGTGTTCCCTTTATTTTTCTTTAATGGTTGAAGGAAGGACTGGCGCCCACTAACGGGACCTGAAGCATCATCAGTCACTGGCCCCTGTTCGTGTACACATGGGTGGTAGTTCGGTCTGCACTTGATCTGTGTCACACTGTGATGCTTTCCAGAACCATCCTTTCTTTGGTAAGTGTAGTAGAGAGTAAAAAGCCACAGGAAATCTGAATCCTAACAGCCGCACAGCCAGTAAGCTGGTTACGCCAAAACAGGCTGGTTCCCTCCTTATTCGTTCACCAAACAGTAAGGAGTTGGAGCCTGCCCTGTCCTGACACTGTGTGCACGGCGAGGAATACACAGTGAACCGCACCAGGAACATATAGGATCTTAACTTCTGAGGAATTTGTTTAGCCTGTCTACGGCCCAGTTTCCTCATCAGGAATGAGGAAATTAGATCAGATGATGTACAGATGTAAACTGCTGCTTTTAATCAGCCTTTAATTTTACTTTATACTGTAATGAAACCAACTTCTTATACTGGATGACTTTGGGTGGGGTCTTATTAGGTGGTGGCCAGACCTTTGGCCTCCAACTGCTATTCCACAGGCCCTTTGTAAGGAAATTTTGTGACTAAGGGAAGGGTATCAATAAACCTAAGGAGGCCTGGCCTATGAATAGGCCTGAGCAGAAATGTTCTGGCATTTTTAAATTTTACACTTGTGTGCTGAGCCCTGAGCTGGCAATTTGTGCACATGATTGCATGGAAATCTTAGCACGAGTGTTAGATGTTACTCTCCCCTTTAAGAAGTGGTTCTACGTAGCCGCCACATTGCTCCTCTGCGCTTACCCCTCAACGATGGGTTATATGCAGAAGAAATAATTGAGAAATCATCTACTTTATTTTTTATTGATTTTTTAAAATTATACTTTAAGTTCTAGGGTACATGTGCACAACATGCAGGTTCGTTACATAGGTGTACATGTGCCATGTTGGTTTGCTGCCCCCATCAACTCGTCGTTTACGTTAGGTATTTCTCCTAATGCCATCCCTCCCCCAGGCCCCCATCCCCCAACCAGCCCCGATGTGTGATGTTCCCCTTCCTCTGTCCATATGTTCTCATTGTTCAACTCCCACCTATGAGTGAGAACACATGGTGTTTGGTTTTCTGTCCTTGTGATAGTTTGCTGAGAATGATGGTTTCCAGCTTCATCCATGTCCCAGCAAAGGACATGAACTCATCCTTTTTTATGGCTGCATAGTATTGCATGGTATATATGTGCCATATTTTCTTAATCCAGTCTATCATTGATGGACATTTGGGTTGTCTCCAAGTCTTCGCTATTGTGAATAGTGCTGCAATAAACATACATGTGCATGTGTCTTTATAGTAGCTTGAAAGTCATCTACTTTAAAAAGGGCATAGGACTTTTCCTGGAAAAAGACATTTCTAAATAAGAAGTGTTGAATGGCATAATGTATTCTAAGAAAGACCAGTGCAGACCAACTTGTTTATTTCAATTTATTTCCATTGTCTTATTTTCCAAATATTTTGTGTTCATTATTAATAGAAGGCAAGGCTTCTGTAGGAATTCAACTATCGTATCTTCCAGCTTTCTTCTCAAGCACTTTTTAGATTAAAAGTAATTCAGGAAAATGTTTTTAGTAGCAGCATCATTCCTTTAGGGAACACTTTTTAATAAATTATCAGACCAAACTGTTTAAATAAAAATGATATTAGTAGAATGTGTGTGTCCATCTGCAACCTTGAGTTTCCTGTGGGATGAAAATGTATTTCCCAAGGTCTCAAAGTCAGAGGCATGCGATTCCTATGGGAAACAGAAGCGAATGTGTTTTTCTCCCAGTGCTAACCTTGCATGATTGATCATAAGAGCTGTAGATTTATTCTAATTTTGCTTATAAGGTTTTTTTGTTGTTGTTGCCTTTCTTTGAAGCATGAAACACTGCCAGAGGCAGGAACCCGGGCTTAATGGACCAAGAGCATGAGCTGAGAGAGCATCTCCCCAGTTTATATTCATTTGGCAATGAGAAAGTATTTTAATGTTAACACATTATGTTACGGTATTGTGAAAACAAACATTTTGGCTTAAGTACAGTAGGGATTCTTGCTTTGGTTATTCCAAAGATCATCTCAACTCTTCTGTCTTCAGGAAAGTTTTAAGACTCGTTTCATAAATTGTAGTTTAGCCTTTTTATTAGAACTGGAAATAGCTTTTGGCGCCACTAATGAATTTTATGTGTTTCTGCTGGTGTCCCCAAAGTAAATTACTGTAACTAATGTGGCACTGTCTCTTTTTGTAACTGTTAGCTGCTGAAAGCAAAAGAGAAATTTGTCTAAAGTCAAAATATTAACAGTTTTATTTATTACAAGATGTCAAGAGGAAAGAGTATAATTTCTGCGGATTTGAGACCAGACTGAGGCCTTTCATAATGAGGCTTTTCATAGTAAGACTTCCTTCCCGTAATTCAAAGAAAAGTGAAAAATTAATGTGTTGTGTTTATTATCAAATATTAGATGACCCTTTAGTAGAAGTCAAAGCAGCCATTAAATTAGCCAGTTCAATATAAACATACATATTTCTTATTTCTTTTAACCGTAACCAAATGTTTACTGAATATTAAAGCACAGTGCAAGAAAAGGTGCTTTCTTAGCCAAAGCCATGTTTTCTGTTTTACTTATGTCTTCATTCTTTCCTTTTTACCCATTTTTGGCTCATCTGCAAAACCAATGTAGTTTCATAAAATCATTAGGAAAATAATGGGTGTTAGAGAGTATACACAGGCACTAAGGTAGTTATGACAAAACCAAAACCCACATGACTTTCAGATTAAAAAGCAGGGGCATAATCTAATATTTTATTCAAGAGCTCTGTTGACATTGCAAAAAGATAACAAATGCTTGATTTGGATAAGCTTTTCAAAAAAGCAGTTTTTAAAAAGCTGTCTGTCGCTCCCTTACTGGTCTATATTTGCTTACAGTTGAGGATAATATTTATACTGTTTAAAAAGACATCCTGAATAATGTGACACTGGAAGTGTATATACCCATATTTTTGTGTTGCTAGGGAATACTACAATAAAATCCTTTTTGTATCTATTATTTATGCATTCACTTACAAGACTTATGTCTGTATATACATCTTTTTTAAGGGAAAACATGGTTGAAGAGAGGCAGAAAAACTAGGATATCATAGTAGGAAGCACACCAGAGAGCCAGAATAGGGAAAGTAATGGGAGTCCCAGCTTGGGGATATCTCAGACTTCTGTGGTTAAGGGTCTTGGCAGGTGCCCTCAGTGGACTCACCCATAGGCTCTCGAGTGTTAACTATGGCTTTGTACATGATTGTATTTTTACAATTTTATACACATTTTTCTATTATCTTTTTCTTAGAAACAGGCTGGGGCTCATGCAATCTATTGTAAATAGCTATAGCACATGAAATAGACAGCCTAAGAAAAAGCGGAAAAGAAAAGAGACATTGCCAACTCAGATATGCTTTTGCCAAGACAAGTGAGCAACGCAGATGAGCCACAAGAGCAGATGATTTCCAAACTGCATAGGTTTGATGTAGGTGTGATTCTTTTTCAGTTTGTTAGCACCAAGAAGTACATAGCATTCTGAGAATTTAGTGTTTTAAACAGAATAATAAGTCACCTTGAAAATTCATTTCAGAAGGAACAAGAAAATTGTCAAGTTCTCTGATTTCTTTTGTTTCTCCAATTCTTTCTCACTCTTCCTCTTCCTCATAAATCAACTTTCCCAGAAGCCTAAAGTTAATACAATCCCAGGAGAGGGCATGAGGTAGTGGCAGCTCTGGTCAGATAAGAGACAGAAGAGGAACAGAACCTCTCTTTCAGGCTCACATGGACTGTGGGGTGGAGGGAAGACCTGTGTCCATGACAAGAAGGCTGCATAGAGTGTGGGGGAGGATGAGAGGTGAGGGCTTGTGGCTCTGCTTCCTGCTGGGGGCTGCAGCAGTGGCCAGGCAGGAGCACAGTGGCTTCAGGTAGAGAATGCCTGGGCACAGCTCCCAGAACCTCCTTTAGGGGCCTGGGGAGGGGCAGGGAGGTCGCTGGAAAGGGGCAGGCCTGGTGCTGGCTACTGAGCAAACGGAGCCTACCATCAGAGCCTACGGGGCAGACCTGCGTGCCCAGGAATTGAATGGGAATGGCGGCCAGATCTTCAGAGGCTACACAGCCCTAAGCAAAGAGAGAACTTTCCCTTTTCAAAGAAGTTAGCAGCCAGAGCAGGTGGTGACAGGGAGACCACTACTGCAGCAGCTGGTGAGGAATAGAGGGCAGCCCCCCATCTGCAAACAGCCTGGGGACCCCTCCTCTCACTCACCATGAGGACCCAGTCACCACCTTGGAAAGGAGGTGCGAGGAGTTGGAGACGGGGGGCCTAACAGGTACCAAAAGCGCTCGTTACACCAGCAGATACTGAGATAGGCGGCATACACGTGGTAAGGCATCCTCTCTGGGGAGAAAAACAGAGGGTGGCTTAAGCGGAAGGTGAGATCAGATATTGAGGAAATTAAGAAGTGACTTTTTTTTCTACAATGGAATGTGATGTGTGAATTTGTCACTTGGTAACATACTAGGAGTGAGTGTGGGTGGCCTATGTTGTAGAGCACGTCTCCTTCCTCCTTGATTCACATCCTTTCTCATTTATGGGTGACCAGCAAGGTTAACTAGATCAGTAGCTTTAAAGTTCTTTCCTATGAACCAAAATGTGCGGCTGTAATGGTTAATTTTAGGTGTCGACTTGACTGGATTAAGGAATAGCTAGAGAGCTGGTATAGTGTTATTTTGGGGTGTGTTTGTGAGGGTGTTTCCAGAGGAGGTTGGGATGTGAGTCCAAGTGGATTGATTGGGGAAGGGGAAGATCAGCCCTTAATGTGGACGGGCCCCATTCAGGCTCCTGGGGGCCTATATAGAGGAAAAACAAAGGAAAACAAATTAGTTTCTCTTTACTGGAGCTGGGATACACTCTCCTCCTCCTGCCCTTGGACATCAGGACCCCAGGACCCCCAGCCTTGGGACTCAAGGACTTTCATCAGCACCCAACCCCCACCAGCCTCAGACTGAGAATTACACTATCAGCTTCTCTGGTTCCAAGGTTTTGGGATTTGGACTGAGCCACACGACCAGCATCCCAGGGTCTTCAGCTTGTAGATGGCCTGTCCTAGAACTTGTCAACCTCCATCATCACATGAGCCAATTCCTCTAAGAAATCTCCCCTCATATATGTATCTTTATCTACCTAAAGATCTATCCTATTGCTTCTGTCTCTCTGGAGAAGCCTGACTAATAGAGTGGCACATGACAGACAGCAAAACCCTGGCCCCTTTGAGCCTCTCCCCTGCACCCTCACCCAGGCTGTCAGGGGCATTGATGGTAAGCATCAACAGAAGAATGCAGAAACTCAAGTGAGCCCTTGAAGCACCGAACATAAAGGTGGACAGGAGGCACCTTGCCAGAATCCCCCTGGATAGTCATCGGAATTATACAGCCTATCCTCCATCTCACTGCCTTCCATGGTGACCATTTCCTGGTTGAGAATCTTTGTTGAAATGAAAGAGATGTGCTGATAAAAGAAAAAGATGGGGAAACTTCTCTGTAAACCAAAGACACGTTGTCTCTGGCCCAGTGCTTGCCAAGAAGAGCTTGAAGGTTTTTTAACATAGATGAATCAAAACAAAAATTTTCCTTCCATGACTGTAGGTTGTTCAAATATTCACGCATTGGATCCCTTAGTTACTATCCTGACCAATAATCTATGTAAACTCTAGAAGTTGGAGTCTTAAAGTTGAGAGGTAATCCTGTCCAGGAAATGTCGATGCAAAGTGGAGATTCGGATTCCTCTGATGTTCCTGTCTACACAGTGAGAGGTGATGCTAGTAGTGGTTTCTTCCCTCTTATCCCTGAATTCTGTCCTCCTTCCATTCCATGTGATACCTACATCCGACATAATTCCTATCAAACAAATCAATTCAGTGAGAGGAACTACCAAGGTTCAGGTCGAGAAATTTTACAGAATTCCTTAACGTCATTCATTTTCCTGAGAATGGCGAGGAAGAAGGTGTCTTGGGACAATGGGCTGTACAGCGTGGGAGTCAAGGATCTAAAGCCAACAGGACCAATGGAAATATAATGTGTACCAGCTGGGCACAGTGGCTCACACCTGTAATCCCAGCACTTTGGGAGGCCGAGGCGGGCGGATCACCTGAGGTCAGGAGTTCAAGACCAGCCTGGCCAACATGGTGAAACCCCATCTCTACTAAAAATACAAAAAAAAAAAAAAAATTAGCTGGGCATGGTGGCATATGCCTGTAGTCCCAGGTACTTCAGGAGGCTGAGGCAGGAGAATCGTTCAAATTCAGGAGGTGGAGGTTGCAGTGAGCTGAGATCACACCATTGCACTCCAGCCTGGGAGACAGAGCAAGACTCCATCTCCAAAAAAAAAAAAAAAAAAAAAAAAAGAATAATGTGTACCAATTATACAATTATAGAATTGTAAGCTTTCTAATAGCCACATTAAAGGTGAAGTTAATTTTAATAATATATTTTATATAACCTAATACATCCAAAATATTATAATTTTAACATGTAATCGATGTAAAAATTATTGAGATACTTTCTGATTTCACACAGAGTCTTCAAAATCCAGCATGTATTTCACAGTCCTCTCTCCATTCAGCATAGACGCACTGAAATAACCACTTGTGGCTTGCAGCTACCATATTGGAGGGTACAGTTCTAGACTCTGCTGTCTCAGAGACCCCAATTCAAGTCAAGGGCTACTGCTGCTTCATACCAAGTGTGACTGGATAAATTGCTCTCTCAGCCTCAGTTCTCTCATTTAGGAAATGGTAATAGTAATATTTCAGGGTCACTGTGAGATTTAAAATAAAACTATCTATACAAAGAGCTTAAACTGATACCAAGTAAGAACCCTGTAAATGTTAGTTATTGTTATATAGATATCATTATTACCAATTTTATCATATGAAAAGTTTATAGTGTAACAATTATTGATAGACCTATTGAAAAAAATAAAAAACTTCTGCTGTAACTACCATTACCTGGATATAGAACAGTAAAACAGGAAAGTAAGGAGAAGAAAAAAAAAAAAAAAGCAGCTTAGCAAATGACTTTCCCTATGGTGGCCTTAGCTACTCTGGGCATCGAGATTGCGTCACTCTTTTTTTTTTTTTTTTTTTAATGAAGACAGTTTTTGTAAAGGCTTGCTTTACAGGCTTGCCAAAAATTCTTGTGCCGGTGACCATATGTCTGTGAAACCAGGCAATCTGTGTCCTTGCTACCTTGTAGATCTTCAGCCTTTTTGTGATTAACAAAATGACCTTTCAGACCCGGCGGATTCAGAACCACTTCAGGCTCTGCCAGGACTTTCTGTCTCTTCCAAGTGAAGAGCATCTGCTGCCCTCTGCCGAAAACTGCTGCTACTGTGGCTCATTTTTCTATCACTTCTGCTTCACCAGAACCACTCAAGAATGAAGATGAATGCGAAGTCAGCTTGGCAGCTCCATGGCGCCCTTTGTGGTTTCTTGACCTGGTGGCTAAAATCCTTCCTCCAGTGAAAAACATTTTTAGTATCTTTAATTACACTTAGTGAAAGTAAGACACGAGTGCGGTTTTAATCTTCTAGATGGTCTTTTGGATTAAAATTAGATTTATACATTTGCATAATAAAAGTAATGTTGTGAAAGAAAGCAGTTTGAGTGTGTGAGAGATAATTGCATCTGTACAAGCTGTCTTGGGGCAGCTCTTATGGAACTGGGCTCAGCATTAGACATTATACCACTGTAGCATTTTGCATTTTTATGCGGCAGTGCAATAGAATTTGAATTTTATGCACAATTAGTCTTATATTGATGTATTGTTTGTAGGTAGGTTTGGGCATAATACTGAGAATAAACCTTTAGTTTAATTTTTTGGTATTTTTCTGGAAAAAGAAAAGTGAGAGAGAAAAGGAAAAGCTGGGGAAAAATTTGGGCAAGCAAAAAAAAATTTGGACATAGTCTTTTACCTTGAGAGAGTGTCTGTTGCATTCAAAGATTCTGTGGCTTTCCGGGCAAAACACAAAGTACTTCCCTTGTGCATTGCTTATTGAAGTTGTTCATATCCTGGGGCAACAAGGTCAGGAGAGGGAAAGGATTATCAAACCAAATAACTCCTTTTCTCAAAGCAGCAGTTGAAAAATGGGAGCTGTGCTTAGGGAATTAACGAGCATGGGATATAAAATAAAGTTCCACACCAAACACTTCATGTACGATAGGAAAAAAATATATGTTGCAGTTTGCTAGAACATGTGTAGTAAATCCAAAGTAACATTGATTAAGCAAATTGTCATGAACACAGAGTAGTTCTTATGATCATACATAATTCCAAGCTTCAGTGTGGAAGTGGAGAGGTACAGCACCCGTTTGGTGTCCCATACACTGGTTCTACCTGCACATTTTGGTCAGATTTAGGTGAGCCTTAAGGATTTTACTTTCTCACAGTCTTTTTCCTTTGTTGTAATTCATTGATGAGTACATTAAAGCATTTTCTAATAGACAAGGAATCTACCGATTTAACAGGAAGGCCCAGGCCATATCTTCCGATTGGCAGTTCTGGCACTGGCTTCCTGGGATTGTAATAGGTTGCCCCCCATCCCATGCCATTTCATATGTAAAACATGTTTGTACCTTCAAATCTATTGTATAATCTATTAGCTTATTCAAACCTCCACTTATGTTGGATATGAGAAACACCTAGCTAAAAAGAAATAAGAAAAAATATAAATACCACAAACCCATCTCACTAAAGTTTGTCATTATATTCCTCCCTGAAAACTCTGTGGTAATCACACAGTGTGCAAGTTCCTGGTCCCATACACTGTATGCTGGCTTTACAGTAATTGAGTCTAAAACCTCAATGAGTCTGTTTTAAAGGTATAGCGAAATGTAGATTGTTAATAACGGAGCAAGTACATTTTCTTCTCATCAGCATTTTCCTGATTTGCCAATGCAGTACTAAAAATATTTTAAGTACCAAAAGAAGCTTCTGCACACCTAAAGAAATTTATCGTCAGAGTGAACAGGCAGCCTACACAATGGGAGAAAATTTTTGCACTCTATCCATCTGACAAAGGGCTACTATCAAGAATCTACAAAGAACTTAAACAAATTTACAAGAAAAAATCAACCCCATCAAAAAGTGGGTGAAGGATATGAACAGACACTTCTCAAAAGAAGACATTTACGCGGCCAACAAGCATATGAAAAAAAGCTCATCATCACTGGTCATTGGAGAAATGAAATCAAAACCACAATGAGATACCATCTCACACCAATTAGAATGGTGATCATTAAAAAGTCAGGAAACAACAGATGCTGGAGAGGATGTGGAGAAATAGGAATGCTTTTACACTGATAGTGGAAGTGTAAATTAGTTCAACCATTGTGGAACACAGTGTGGCAATTCCTCAAGGATCTAGAACCAGAAATACCATTTGACCCAGCAATCTCATTACTGGGTATATACCCAAATGATTATAAATCATTTTACTGTAAAGACACATGCACACATATGTTTACTACAGCACTGTTCACAATAGCAAAGACTTGGAACCAACCCAAATGCCCATCAATGATAGACTGGATAAAGCAAATGTGACACATATACACCATGGAATACTTTGCAGCCTTAAGGGGGTGAGTTCATGTCCTTTGCAGGGACATGGATGAAGCTGGAAACCATCACTCTCAGCAAACTGACACAGGAACAGAAAACCAAACACCACATGTTCTCACTCGTAAGTGGGAGTTGAACAGTGAGAACATATGGATACAGGGAGGGGAACATCACACACTGGGGCCCGTTGGGTGGTGGGGGGCTAGGGGAGGGATAGCATTAGGAGAAATACCTAATGTAGGTGACGGGTTGATGGGTGCAGCAAACCACTATGGCATGTGTATATCTATGTAACGAACCTGCATGTTCTGCACATGTATCCCAGCACTTAAAGTATAATTAAAAAAAAAAAAAAGAACACATGGAAAAATGGGTGTGCACATCACTGGGGACATTTTATTTTTACACACTAATTTTCCCTTCAGCAGTCCTAATAGTGGTTTAAAGTTTAAAAGGGATGGGATGAGTCCGGCCCCTCCCCTTGCAGGGAGAGCAGGAGGCAAACCTGTTGTGTTGTGTTGCTTTCGCAAATGAAATACCTTTTACTCTGAGCTGCAAAGGCTACCAAATAAAGAAGCACACAGAGCTATGTGTCAGGAGGGAGTAAAAATGAACAGAGCAGGACAGGGAGTTCAGGCAAGTTGACAGGCCACACGAGAGTTCAGCAGAGCATCAAAGTCAGTGCATCAGCAGCAAGGGGTGGTAGCTAGGAGGAGGGCTGGGGAGAGAGAGCGGCCAGAAGAGAGACGGGAGACCCTGAGGGAGTCCTGGTGAGAAGTGTGTGTTACCATTCAGGCTATTGGAGGCCATAAGCAGCACGAACCCAACTACAGATGCTTACCCGAGAGAGGGTGATTTTCCTCACATAACAAAAAGGTCGGGGTACGTGGTCCTGGCATGGATTCATGATGTTGTGTGAAGGCAGCTCGTCTGCAGTTCTCTCCCCCTTTGCTTCATAGTCAGGTCCACGTTGCAGCCACTGCAGCCATCAGCTCCCCATTGCATGCAGGAGGAGAGGGAGGCAAAAGCTTCCTTAGGAACTCACTGCAGATTCTGCCCTGTGGCATTGCCACGGTTGTATCACATGACCCCCTTTATGGAAAGAGAGCAAGGCATGGGGCCGGAGCAAGGGTCCTGGCAGCCCACGTTGCTGCCACAGCCTTTGGCTGGCTGGCTGTTTGCCGGTGCTTGTGGCTATTGTAACATAGTTGGATGCATTGGTAGTTTAGTGGTCATTCAGGAATCCTGAAATTTCATTCTTCTCTTCATCGACACTCTGCTGTTTTTTCCTAGCTAAAATTTGGAGCTGAGTTTTATGAGAACAGCCATGAAAGTATTGACATATTTATACCCTGAGTATTTCTCTAGACCAGATATTTAACTTTCACTGAAATAAAAAATATTTTCAATCTCTCTAAATTCTACCAACTTTTTATTGGTCCTTAATATTAATAATAGCTTTGGGGTTATTGTAAAAGTGTGGATGAGGAGATGAAGGGAGGGTTAGGGGGCAGCAGAAAGGCAGCCTAGAAGCCCCAAAATAACACAAAAGGCATCTAGCTGTTTCAAGACCCCTCTCTATATGCTTATCATCTCATTAAAAGAAAAATGTGTAGGTTGGTGCAAAAGAAATTACAGTTTTTGCTATTAAAAGTAATGGAAAAAATTGCAATAACTTTTGCATCAACCTAATATTTTTGCATCTTCATTCTTCAAAGGACCTATCAGACTCCAGCATCTCATAGAAATATACAGTTTCAGTGTTCTCTCTCTCTCTCTCTCTCTCTCTCTCTCTCTCTCTGTCTTCCTCTCCCAGAAAACTAAAAATAAGAAACTGCTGTTGTTGCCAAGGGGGATGGAAGGAGGAAATTCTGGGAGGTCAGCTTCAGTATCCACCTCCAAATAGACACAGTGGCTGCCTGCAGCCTGACATTTCAAGATTGATTAAGGGTGGGGGAAAGGAGAGTAATATTAAGCGAAGATTTTGTTTGAATTTCTGTAAATGTCATTTGATTTCTGCCACCTGTCAAAATTTCATGTATTAGTGGCACCAAATAGATTTGTTTTTATAAAACTAGACATTCCCACTGTAGTGTCTATACATATATGTGAAACAATATCAACTATTTAAATGTCTGTATTAAATAACTGATAAGAAGTCTTAGACACCTACTATACCAGAAATATTGAGAAATACAATCTCAACATAGTCTAGATTTCAGTCCGGTGGTGCACTTCTAAATAGATATTACCATAGCCTTCTGATGGCATACATTTGCACATGTGCTTACTAATGCAAGGCATGCTAAAAGATGTTTTAAAGCCTTTTCTAGCTTTGTTTAAATTATGTTTGTCTCAAATCTGTTTCTCTTTGTTGTTGTTGAGTTGCTTAATAGAGCCCTCTTTGGTCCTCAGTGAATTGGTTTAAAATAATGTCTCCATCACTAAAAATATTTATTGTGGTAGGCAGAATTGTAAAGAGGGTCCTCCAAGATTCTGTCCTCTAGTTATGCCATTAAACACGAATGCAGCTACAGCTATAAAGGTCACAGACCTCAAATAGGGAGGCTCTCCAAACTCACCCCTGGAGACCTTAAAAGCAACCAGAGAGATGTGGCTGAAGAGAAAGGTGGAGGCATGCATAGAGATGGAGGGGAAGCAGGAGAAGCTTTTGAGACACCCCTGCTGGCTGTGAAGCAGGCAGGGAGTACAGGTGCCTCCAGGTAGACAGCAAGGAAAAGGGACCTCAATCCTACATCCCTACAAAACTGAAATTTGCTACAACTTGAATGAGCTTGAAAGCAGGTTCTTCTCCAGAGCCCCACAGAGCAGTGCTGGACTTTGATCTTGGCCTTTGGGATTCTGGGCAGAGGAGAAGCTGAGCTACGCTGTGCCCGGACTTCTGAACCACAGAAACTATGAGATAAATGGATATTGTTTTAAGCTGGTTTTATGGTGATTTATTATAATGGCAGTAGAAAATGAATACTGACATACCTCAGAGATATTGCAGATTCAGTTCCAGCCCACTGCAATAAAGCAAATCCTTATCTTTTTGCTGGGAGAGGGTCTTACCTTCATGTTGATGGCTGCTGACTGATCAGGGTTGCGGCTGCTGAAGCTTGACGTGGCTGTGGCAATTTCTAAGACAACGGTGATGTTTGCCACATCACTGGACTCTTTTTTCATGAAAGATGTCTCTGTAGCATGTGATGCTGTTTGATAGCATTTTACCCACAGTAGAACAACTTTCAAAATTGGAGTCGATCCTCTCAAACTTTCTCAAAGCTACTGCTTGATCAACTAAGTTTATGTAATTTTCAAAATCCTTTATTGTCATTTCAACAATGTTCCCAGTGTCTTCACCAGAAGTAGATTCCAACTTAAAAAAAAAAAATCTTTGCGCATCCATAAGAAGCAACTCCTGATCAGTTCATGTTTTATCATGAGATTGCTGCAATTGAGTCACATCTTCAGGCTCCACTTGTATTTCCAGTTCTTCTGTGGTTTCCAATACATCTGAGTTATTTCCTACATTGAAGTCTTGAAGCCCTCAGAGTCATCCAGGAGGGATGAAATTGACTTCCTCCAAACTCCTGTTATGTTGATATTTTGACCTTCTACAAATCATGAATGTTCTTAATGGCATCTAGAATGGTGAATCCTTTCCAGAAGGTTTTCAGTGTACTTTGCCCAGATCCATCAGAGGACTTTTTATGGCAGCTATTTCCTTATGAAATATATTTCTTAATAAGACTCAAAAGTTGAAATTATCCCTTCATCTGTTGTGTTAGCAGGCATGAAAACATTCACCTCCTTGGACATCTCCATCAGAGCTCTTGGGTAACCAGGTCCATTGTCATTGAGCAGTAATATTTTGAAAGGAATATTTCTTTCTGAGCAGTAGGTCTCAACAGTGGGCTTAAAATATTCATTAAACCATGTGCATCTGTAAACAAATGTGCTCTCATCCTGTCTTTGCCATTCCATTTATAGAGCACAGTCAGAGATTTCACATAATTCTTTTTTTTTTTTTTTTTTTTTTTGAGATGGAGTCTGACTGTCACCCAGGCTGGAGTGCAGCGGCATGATCTCAGCTCACTGCAACCTCTGCCTCCCAGGTTCAAGCAATTCTCCTGCCTCGGCCTCCTGAGTAGCTGGGACTACAGGCTCACGCCACCACGCCTGGCTAATTTTTGTATTTTTAGTAGAGAGGGGGTTTCACCATGTTGGCCAGGCTGGTCGTGAACTCCTGACTTCAAATGATCCACCTGCTTCGGCCTCCCAAAGTGCTGGAATTATGGGTGTGAGCCACCGCGCCTGGCTGATATCACATAATTCTTAAGGGCCCTAGCATTTTTGGAATGGTAAATGAGCATTGGTTTCTACTTAAAGTCACCAGCTATATTAGCTCCTAAGGAGAATCAGCCTGTCATTTGAAGCTTTGAAGCCAGTCATTGACTTCTCCATGACATCTTCTTCCAATAGAAGGCTCTTTCATCTACATTGAAAACCTGTGGTTTAGTGTAGCCACCTTCATCAATGATCTTAGCTAGATCTTCTGGATGACTTGCTGCGGTTTCTATATCAGCACTTGCTGCTTCACCTTGCACTTTATGTGATGGAGGTGGCTTCTTTCCTTAAGCTTCATGAGCCAACCTCTCATAGTTTCAAACTTTTGTTATGCAGCTTCCTCACCTCTCTCAGCCTTCATAGAATTGAAGAGAGGGCCTTGCTCTGGATTATGCTTTGGCTTAATGGAGTATTGTGATTGGTTTAATCTCCTATCCAGAACACTCAAACTTTCTCCATATCAGCAATAAGGCTGTTTGCTTTCTTATCATTTGTGTGTTCACAGGAGTAGCATTTTAAATGTCCTTCAATAGCTCCTGGTTTGCATTCCCAGTTCACAGCTTGGCTAGCTGTTTGGTGCAAGAGATCTAGAACTTGACATGCCTTCCTCACCAAGCTTAATCATTTCTAGTTTTTGATTTAAAGTAGAAGTTGTGTGACTCTTCCTTTCACTTGAACACTTGGAGGCCATTGTAGGTTTATTAATTGGCCTAACTTAAATTGTTATGACTCAGGGAATAAGGAGGCCTGAGGAGAAGGGGCAAGACAGGGGAAGGTCTGGTTAGTGGAGCAGTCAGAACACACACAACACTTTACCAGTTCAGTCCACCCTCTTATGTGGGCACATTTCATGGTGCTCCCAAACAATCACAATGGTAACATCCAAGATCACTGATCACAGGTCACCATAACAAATATGATGATGACAAAAAAGTTTGAAATAGTGTGAGAATTACCAAAAATGGACAGAGACTGAAAGTGAGCACACACTGTTGGGAAAATGGCATCAACAGACTTGCTCGATGCAGGGTTGCCATAAACCTTCAATGCGTAAAAACTGCAGCATCTGTAAAATGCAGTGAAGTGACACACAAGAAGAAGAGGTGTGCCTGTGCTGTAAGAGAGAAGTAAGTTCTAGACCCACAGATTTTGGGTGAAGCTCAAGCTCGCCCTGCATATACGCACATAGACTCACATTATTTCCACGCCTGGTGGTTCCATTGATCATCTTTCCATCACATCTTTTTTAACAGCCCTAATTAATAGATTTTATGTACTCAATTATTCATTGGGATTAACTGAGTTGTAAAACCAGACAAAAACCACAGTGGCCCCTATATTTGGATGGCTTTAGACGTGAGAACAAGGCTTCAAGCTCCTGTTTCAGGGCATCGATAGTTTTCAGCTGCAAATCAGATCCTATCCCCGCCCTCAAAATGCTCCAGTAACTGCCCTTTATAATTAGAATAAAATTCAAACAACTCTATCTGTGAGTGCCAGATTCCTCTCTACCTCTTCGGTGACACCTTGTGACCACCCCTCTCCTATCACAACCTCTGGCCACGTGGACGACCCTTCTTTCCAACACAAGCACCTTGGCTCTGCTATGGACACCCCGGCCAAGCCCAGGCCCCTCCTGGCATCCTCTTTCCTGGGCACTGTGCACAGCTGATAGCCTCCCCCAGACCTTCCTCCACATCCTCCCTGGACCACCCTGGCCCCATTGCCTCCCTGGTTTATTTGCTCCTCCTGTTCTACTTGTTACGGCACCCAATATCAAGCAACACAACATCCTGGGTTGTTTGAGGTGTTTATTTTCTCTTCTTCACTGTCATATCCCTGGTACTCCTCACAGTGCCTGGTCCATAGAGGTTCTTAAATTTGTGTGTGTGTGTGTGTGTGTGTGTGTGTGTGTGTGTATTATTAATATACATATACATTTTTCTTAGTTATATATTAATATATATTTATTGAATAAATTAATAAATAAGTGGGTCAATCAACCAACGAAATACCTGCCCTGTTTCTGTTTTGCCCGTAATTTTTAGAGGTACGTATTTTGGTGGTGCTGAAGGACCTTACAAAAGATAACTCCCTATGGGCAGCGTTCAGAAGCAGCTCGCGGACATCCCAGCTCCCGGCTTTGCCCCCAGAGTCAGAACCCACTTTCCCACCACAGGCCAGCTCCCATGCAACGCTGGGCAAGTTGCCCTCTTTGTGACACAGGGACAGTGTTAGTAATGATTCCTTAGTGCTTTTGGGATGAGTTGATGAAATAATTCAGTTTGAGTTCCTAGCATAGTGCTTGGCACATAATACAATTTATTAATATCTTTTTACATGAATAATGATAAAATAATTCTGCACTCTGAGTCATTGCCTCATTCAAAAAATTTTTTTTGCTTATTTTGTGAATCAAATGATGACCTTAAAAATATATCAATGACTTTTCTTTGTAAACTATGGGGAACAGTCTCATAGCTAATTATTCAAAACAATTCGACTCCTTTGAAGCTATTGGAAAAGCATTCTCCTTTCATGTGCTTCTGGTCCTCAGTGAAACAGCAGGTTCTTGGTGACTGGAGAACTCTAACCGTAGTCCAGCCCCCAGGCACTGCGACTCCCCAAGCTGAGTCCAGCACAGACCTCGCCCTGAATCTCCATGCCCAAAACCTGCCTGTTAGTAGATCTTCACTTGCAGTGTTTTCTTAGGGTTTTTTGTTTTGGTTTTGGTGGAATAGGGAAAAACAGGTTCTTAAAGGAAAGTTCATGTATTATCATCTCAGGCCCAGCTCAACTTTGCCAACCATCTGCCCGAAGCCCCATCTCCTAGAAGCTTTTCTGTTATTTAATTTCAATATTTCATCAAAGAAACCTCACATTTGTCATTTAGTGTTAAATATCTGTAAACTACTCACTTTCCTTATTCCTATAGAATCACTTTTCATTCTTTTGTAGTTTCACCAAATAGTTATTAAGATGCCATTGAACTAAAAAACAGTATCATTTTCTTCATCATCAAGAAAAAATAAAAAAACACTGTTAATGAACTCTGAAAGACTTTGTATCACTTCAAATTTCTCAGACTTATATTTAATACTTATCAAAAGTGCTCTTAGAGTAGAAATATATGAGACACTTTTTCATTATTTATCCCCCTTGTACATGTATAAAAAATTAAAAGTAAAATAGATTAAGATATTTTTAACACATTCAAAATGCAATCTCCTAGCTAGCTCACTTGCAGTGTCAGAATTATGGTTGTCCCATAATTGGACATATGGGACCTATGTCCCATAATTCAGAAACTATGGTTTCCAAATACCATGCTCTCAACAAGCAAGAGTGCTGAAGATGCTGCCCTTAGTTAAGGAGTGAGCAGCTACTGTCTTTGGAATTTTCTTCTAAGCTCCTGACAGCTATTCTGTATGTTTGACGGGCATGTGCAGGCAATGACAACTGTGACAACATTGCCACCTGGATGACAACCTAAGCTGCAGCCTAATTATAGTAATAATAATAAAATAAATCAGTGAAAGAGCCCAAGATGAATCTTAGGATAAAAAATTCTAGGCTGGGTATGGTGGCTCATGCCTGTAATCCTAGCACTTTGGGAGGCCGAGGCGGGTGGATCACTTGAGGTCAGGAATTCGAAACCAGCCTGGCCCACATGGTGAAACCCCATCTCTACTAAAAATTAAAAAAAAAAAAATTAGCCGGGCGTGGTGGCACACACCTGTAATCCCAGCTACGCTGGAGGCTGAGGCAGGAGAATCACTTGAACCTGGGAGGCAGAGATTGCAGTGAGCCAAGATCACGCCACTGCACTCCAGCCTGGGTGACAGAGAGAGACTCTGTCTAAAAAAAAAAAAATTAAATATAGTATGACTATCCAGCTATTTTTTTCTTACTTTAATTTTAACTACTATCTGCTAAATTCTAGCTATGAAAGATCAATGAAGGTTTAATGCTGTACACAACATGTGCCTGCAAACACACACACACATCCACACACACACCTCCTCTATTAAAAGCATTGTTCAGACTAGGTATTATAATTCCCTTTCTTATACAACTATTTTATTTTTCTTGGATTTAGTGATTGACTTGGTTTTTTCATTTGCTTGTTCACTTGGGTTTGGGTAAAGTCGTCATTAATTCAGCCCCAAACTTTCTAATAGAATTATAAATCTCTTAGTATAATCACGAAAAATCACATATCATTTTCTCCCCAATTTTTCCAATTGGAGACATGCATTCTGAGGTCCCACTCCTCCTGAGGCTGTCAGGACCCTCCAGCACAGCGGAGGGCACTGTCGTCCACATTGTCCCGAATGCCAGGTTTATTCTGCACTGATTTTTCTCTCTATTGTCCCCCCAACACTAGATCAATGGTTTGTCTGGGAATAGGGAAACCTAGGTAAGGCACTATTTTCTTTCAGAATGTTGAAGGCATTCTGTTCAAGCTTTCAGGGCTGGTGGCTGAAGTCCAAGGCCATTCTGATTCTTGTTCCTGTTCTCCCCCAGCCCATCATCCATTTGCTCACTGTGACGGCTGTCCTTGGCTCAGGCCTTCCTCATTCATTGTTCTGGGCCTACTTATACAGTGGCTCCTTGAAGCCAGAAACCTATGACCTTCTATACTGGGAAACATCTTTGTATTTAATTATTTGATATTTTTCTCCACTTTATTTTCTCTTTCTGGGATTCCTACATCTTGGATATGAAACGTGTTAGGTCAATTCTTTGTTTTTCTTTCTTTAAATCTCCCATCTCCTGTTTCCCATTCCTCTACCTCTTTGCTCTTCTTTCAAAGAGATTTCTCCAAACTTGTTTTCCAAACTGACTAAATTTTTAAAATTTTCTGCCGTCATCATTTTAATATTTAAGACCGCTTCTTTTTCTCCAAATATTTTTTCTTTATACCATTATCTTATCTATTCAAAGAAATTGATTGTAGTTGAGTGTTTGTTGTGTTTGATTTTTTTAAGTCTTCTACTCTTCCCTAAATTGTTTTCTGTTTCCTTTTCAGTTTCTTGGAGTCTCTTACCTTTGGTACTGAAGACTTTCTCCAGATGTCTTGTCTTCATTTGCTTTTCATTCATACTTTTTTTAAAAGCATTTTAAAAAAACTGATTGGAAACCGTGTGCAAGGTCAGGCTTGTTAAATTCTGCATTTCACCTGAGTACCTGTAGTAGAGCAGTGAACAGGATGTGAGGAAGGGGCACACCTGCACCCAAACACTGGACTATTTCTAGGGTGGTAGGACTCCACAACTGCAGATAGAAAGTCTACAATAATGTCCTGCCCAGTGGTGGGGAGGTGTAGGGTTTTATTAAATCTGGATGCCGTCAGTCTGGAAGGGAGGCAGAACAAAGGGGTTGAGCTATCACCAATCAACATGCAGTCATCCATGTAATTCCCTGATTTCAATAAAGCCCCTCATCTCCCCCCCATGCTGTGCCAGGTGGCCTGAGCCCAGATCCACTCTGTAGGGCTACTCTGGGAAAAGAACATTTTGTCTTCAGCCTGGGGAAGCAGGGAAAGTTGCCAGCTTCATAGGCTGGGGGGTGGGATGCTGTCATCTTACTGCTCACTGTATGAGATTTTCAAGTACTTATTCTCATTTGGGCCCTTTCTTTTCTCTGAATTTGCCAGGGACCTGGATCCTCCAGTCCTGGGCCTTCCGGTGGTGCTGCACCTAAATGGCCTTGATTATGACTGAATTTCCCTTCTGCAGACAGTGAGGCTTTAGCTTTCTCTGCTCTGCTAAATACAGTAGGTTCTACCATTCCATCTGTGTTCTATGATTTGATTAACATCTCTCTTCTGATTTTTTCTTCTCTCTCAAACTCTTTGTCCTTATAGATTTATTTCCCTTCTGCACCAATATCATTTTAGTCAGGCTTTAGGAAGTAGGAGATTTAAACACATTTGTTCAGTCTGCCACATGGAACTGGAACACTTGTTTTTCTTTTTTCAGTTACTGTCACCACCATCCCTACTGGTCAAAATTGGAAACCCTGAAGTCATCCCAGACTCCTTCTTTTACCACATCTAGGTAGTCACCAACTCCTCTCAATGCTACCTACTAGTTAGCTCTTAAATGTGTCTCCCAGCCTCCCTTCCTCCTGCTGTGTGTTTAGTGTACGCTCACATCACACTTAACTGGAGAGTTGAGCAGCTTCCACATTGGCCTTCCAATATCAGCCTGTTCTTCACACCAACCCTGCCATTGTGACTCTAAAACAGGAATTGATGACATTTTCCCTAAAATGTTTTTATGGCTCCCCCAGACCTTTGGGATAGAAAAACAGTCTCTGTCCATGAAAAGAAAACACTTCATTACATACAAAACCTTCTGCATTTCCTCGAACCCCCATCTCCACCTCCTAGGACTACCACCACCACAGGCCCCCAAAGAGCTTATGGTTGGTTCCTGAGGAAACTCTTGGCTCAGGGTGTTTGCACACATGTCCGCATCTTGCTGTAGAGCCCCTATTTTCTCCTCTGGCTGATACCATAGGATGCTTTTCTCTATATGCCACTCATCAGAGGGTTGTAATTTCTGCTTGGCATTGTTCTTTAGAGAGGGTAGTCCAGACGGGTGCAGTGGCTCATACCTGTAATCCCAGCACTTCGGGAGGCCGAGGCAGGCAGACTACTTGAGGCCAGGGGTTCGAGACCAGCCTGGCCAACGTGGGGAAACCCCATCTCTACTAAGTACAAAAATTACCTGGGCGTGGTGGCACGTGTCTGTAATCCCAGCTACTTGGGAGGCTGAGGCAGGAGAATCGCTTGAACCTGGGAGGCAGAGCTTGTAGTGAGCCAAGATCGCGCCACTGCACTCCATCCTGGGTGACAGAGCAAGACTCCATCTCAAAAAAAAAAAAAAAGAGAGAGGGCAGCCCCTTTCTGCTATTTACAATGGTGTCAAAACATCTGTATGACATGGCTACCACTAAAAATAGAATAGATTGCTATTACCTATGGCCATGCTGCATTGAGCATTTGAAATATCAAAATACATATGTGTGTAAATGTATATGTGTCTGTGTGCACATGTACATTCTATATGTACATGTAATATATATGCACATATACACATACGGGTACATAGCTGTATATATGTTTTCTCACAAAAGAATGTGAACTGTTATATTTTAATGCATTTTTCTCCAAAGCTGCAATGATCTAATATGAAATTCTCAGCTTTGAAAGGGGTGGATGGTACACAGATCCTTTGAAAAATTACATCACAGAAATACTGTGAGAATGCAGAAATATTAGATGTTGAGGAACTCAAATATGTTTCTCTAAAATATAGAATAAAATAGAATATAAATTTAAATCTGTATTTTATTCTAATTTATGTTATTTTTTAATCAAAGAGAAAAAAGCTAATCTAAGATTTTCAGTAACAAGTAAATCCCTTTATGGTGTCTCTTAAGAATGTGTCAGATTTCTCTCTTTTTTGGGGACAGAATCTCACTTGTCGCCCAGGCTGGAATGCAGTGGTATCATTTCAGCTCGCTGCAACCTCCACCTCCCAGGCTCAAGTGATTCTCTTGCCTCAGCCTCCTGCGTAGCTGGAATTACAGGTATGTGCCAGCTCACCCGGCTCTTTTTTGTATTTTTGGTAGAGACAGGGTTTCGCCATGTTAGCAAGGCTGGTCTCGAACTCCTGTTCTCAAGTGATCCGCCCACCTTGGCCTCCCAAAGTGTTGGGATTACAGGCATGAACCGTTCATGCTTGCCAATGTGTCAGATTTCTAACCTAAACACTGTGCATTCAGAGACTCATTCTCATCTCTATAAAGTAGGATCAAATCCGTGGCCTGAAGTTGAGCAACCATGCTGCAAGTTCTTCCTCCAGCTGAATAAACTCCATTTGACTTCGATTCTGGCCACCCGTTCTGCCCTAAAGGCCTAGGGAGTTGTTAGCCGAGTAGATTGGAGGCTAAGTTTGTCTTCTGCACCCCCATCCATATCACCATGGTGGAGGCTTTCTGTTGTGTAAAGAATGCCATCCTCCTGGAGGCAGCTTCATGACTCCTACTTTGAAAACCCGCTCTAGCTGAAAGGCTCAAAGTTATGTCTTAAACTAAATGGTCTGGATTGTCTCTGTGTTTTGAAGGTGCTTTTTTTAATTTACAAGAACTTGTTTAGTTTCAAATAGTTGACCTCTTTTTAAGGTTCAACCCTGGAAAAAAAAGAAAAGCATTGATCTCTATATTAACGTAGCTTATCATGTGGGCTTAAAAGTCTCCTGTCTTAGTCCATCTGGGCTGCTATAATGAGATCCCATAGACCAGGTGGCTTATAAACAACAGAATTTTATTGCTCACAGTTCTGGAGGCTTGGCAGTCCAAGACAAAGTCTCTGGCAGATTTGGTGTCTGGCGAGGGCCCACTTCCTCATAGATGGTGCCCTCTTATGCATCCTCACATAGTAGAAGGGGCTGTTTTATACGGGTACTAATTGAGATGCATGGACACTCATGAGAGACATAAACATTCAGACCATAGCTTCTCCCATTTTCCTCCTTCTCTTGGATTTCCCTTTCAGCTCAGCAGCTCACTCTAATCTTACTCATTTCTAAAGACCCAGGTCAAATTTGCTGTCCTCTGTGAGGCATTCCCAGAGCTTATGGAAATAATTTTGTCCCACATGGGTTCCTGAAGAAGTTCCATATATCTGCTACTTCCCCAAACCCCATCAAAATGATACGGAAGGAGTTAAAATAGTGTAAGTCCACAAGAACACAAAGAGTTAGAGAGAAGATAAAAGTCAGGTAAGAGAGGTCAACAAAATTTCAGAACACAGAGGGAAGAGTGAATAAAATAGAAGTGTTAAAAGATAAACTAAGGCGTATTAAAATTTTAAACAGCTTATGTGCGCAAACAGTGATTTATGAATCTAGCCACAAGTGGTCAGAGCTCCACCACAGGTCATTGAAGGGAAAGCTTTTATAGGATAAATTTGGAAGCAAATAAATTATGTAATTGGCTAAAGTTTGAACAATTACCTTATTTGGACGATTCCCATGGGAAGTTCAGAACAATATAACTAATTCCAAGTTGACTGCCTGTGATCAGCTGAGTTCAAGTTTCATCTTTTAAATTAGCCGATCATAGGAAATGAGTCTGAGTTATATTTCAGTTTGCTGATTTAGGAACCCGGGGTTTTAGAGCCACCTCTGTCTGATGGCCTCCCATTTAATTATTTTCACAGAAGATAGTCAATATGGTGCCAAAAAAAAATCGGCAATTTAGCACTGTTGCTGCTACGCTTATGAATGTGGATCCAACCCTTAATGTTGTGATTCTCATTTTCCTTGTTTCTAAACTAAGGATGATTCAGTCTTTCTGGTCTACTGGAAATATTTCTTGTTCAGGTCAAGGGAAGTAATGTGGGTGAAGGGCTTTGAAAACTGTGTAGACCTTTATAAAAACAGAAGTCTTTATTAGTACCATTATCAGTCTGCCTCTTACTGTACTTAAATATTTGTTTATGTATCCCCTCAACTAAGCTGTGGGCTCTTTGAGGGCAAGGATTAGATCTTGTTTATATTCCCTAGAGTTCTTAGTTTACTCATAATAAGCATTCATTTGCTGAGCTGCATTAGTATTGGCCTAATAAGTTACCAACACATTCTTAAAGTGCTCTGAAATGCAGATCTAAATGTTGAAATGAAGTAAATACAAGTTATGCTAAATTTTTAAGTTCAGAGAAAGAAATCCTATCTTTTGAGCAATCACTTGATGCTGGAGATGGCTGATTATTTACAGTCCAGCAGTCTACAGAGAGCAAATCTCTCAGCAGTTCTAACCTTGACACTTCTCTCTCACATTAAAATATTCCTTGAGGGACAACTCAATGTTAACATTTTGTAAGGAAATATAGCATGACTAACAGGCCCTATGCAACAAACAGAAGTAAGTCCAAATGAATGAGCACTTTTATACTCTCAGTAAATTATAGCAGAGATGCTAAGGCTACTGGGAGACAAGCCGGTGTTGAATTTCACTTGCACCCAGTTTTGTTTTAGTAAGATTATTTCTGTGGAAGGTTTTTTTTATAGCTTAAGTAATTGATGTAAAAATTCAGTGTCATACGTAGAAATAGCACAAATTCTAATTGTGTTTGGAAAGTTACTTTGGAAGACAGATGATAGATAAATAGAGAGATACATTGAATGGTTGGTTGATTAGATTGATTGATTGGATAAAATAGATTACATAGATAAGATAGGTAGGTAAATCGATAGGCAAATTAGATAGATAGATAGATAGATAGATAGATAATCTCCCCTAAATATACTTAGATAAAAATATGGTTATTAGATAACAGCTTTAGTCAACCACTGAAAGATGGCAAGTGATACGAATTATTTTACTTCATCACATTGAATTAGCTTCTTTTGATATTTAAATACAGCATTACATGCACCCTGTTAAAAAAATAACAGTTTTTAGTTTTGCTAAATACATTGTGTCTTAAATAATGATGACTTAAAATCCACTATATGCCGGGCGCGGTGGCTCATGCCTGTAATCCCAGCACTTTGGGAGGCCGAGGTGGGCGGATCACGAGGTCAGGAGATCCAGACCATCCTGGCTAACACGGTGAAACCCCGTCTCTACTAAAAATACAAAAAATTAGCCAGGCGTGGTGGCGGGCGCCTGTAATCCCAGCTACTCGGGAGGCTGAGGCAGGAGAATGGCGTGAACCTGGGAGGCGGAGCTTGCAGTGAGCCGAGATCGCGCCACTGCACTCCAGCCTGGGCTACAGAGCGAAACTCCGTCCAAAAAAAAAAAAAAAATCCACTATATTAGACATTTCTATACATTTCCATCAAAGAAAAGCCCAGGATCTGATGGCCTTATTGCTGAATTCTACCAAATACTTAAAGAAGAATTAATGTTAATTCTCCTCAAAGTATTCCAAGATATAGTATGAAGAGGTAGGGCCTTTGGGGAGTTACAAGATCATGAGGGCAGAGTCCACATGACTGGATTAGTACCCTTATCTAATAGACCCAAAGGAGCTTGTTTGCCCCTTTCACCAAGTGAGGACACAACTAGGAGCACTACCAATGGGGAAGAAGCCTTCAGCAGACACCAAATCTGCCAGCACCTTGATCTTGGACTTCCCAGCCTCCAGAACTGTGAGAAATAAATTTTTTTTGTCTAAGCTACCCAGTTTATGGTATTTTGTCGTAATAGCCTGAACAGACTAAGACATAAATAGAAAAACAAATATATTCAATATGAAGTCAAATGGTAAATTCTTAGAAATGTAATGTTGAGTAATTTGAGATACAGTCTTGATTATTTAGAAAAGATTCATATAGTTTAGGATGACTTTGTTGTAAGCTGACACTTAGGAATTTTCAATAATAAATACACTGATGAATTATGAGTGAATGGATGAAAGAATGATTCCCAAGGGTAACTGTAATGAATTTTTTAATAGGAGTTTGGTTTATTTTTTTCCCTAGGAGTTGGGTAATAGTGGTTTTGAATAGTTTTCTAATTTTTGCCCTGACCTGTAAGATTATGACTTAGCTGCTTTAATAGTGTCTTCTGAGAAGAAAGAGAGAAAAGGGGAATCAGGGAGGAAGGGAAAAGGGAAAGAAAGAATGAAATAAGAAAGGAAAGAAAGACCCATCTAGTAGGTGAGAACATTTTCTTCTTTCCCACACATATATCCCCATAATATGCCTTGTCTTAGGTAAAAAGTTTAACTGAGGTTAGTGTTGGAGATGTAGCATCAATCTGCATTAACAAAAGCATGCCAATTCAACAGAACCGTAATTTTCTAGAGTATATTGTATACGGAGTATATTAACTAACTAACTAGTACTGTCTGGGTATATCAATAAAGACATACCTAGAGGGTAGAAACTGGGCCCAAATTATCTCTTACCTAAAGTATCTAATTATTATGACCTACTACTTGGACAGAGAATGATTAACAAATGCTTGTTGAAAAAATTACCATCAGAATCACTGACTCAGTGTGATCCCAGGCAAGCATGGATTTGAACAGGAGGATGCAGTTGGAAGAAGTCCACCCAGATGAATGAGGATAGAAAAGGAAGACCGTTCAGAGAGGGTGATGGGATTTGAAGTATCCTCTGGGAGTGGAAAAGAATATAACTCTAGCTGATCAAAATGCACAAAGAAAAGGGGTAGAGAAATAACAGAAAAGGATGAGAGAAAGAAGAAATAATAATACCAAGTAAGGAATAAAAATTAGGCTATTCAAAATAGCAATTTGGGGAACTTCTAAGGATTCAATACCCAGAGCTTTTCTAAGAAAATGAACTGTACAATAAAAAGAAATTATATCATTAATTGAATGTTAATATAACAGATTTTAAAGAAGTGGTTGAAGAAACAAACATGGTGTTTTCACGTGTGCGGGATGTTTGGGAAAATTGCACCATTGGGTCTCGCCTTTGTCATCATAGACACCCAGTAGCAGAAACATTTGAGAATCCCTGTGTTGCTGTCTCTGTACATTCCTCACCCATCAACATTTGATTGTTTTCTTTCCAAAAATAAACGAAAGCCCAATTTTTAAGAAAATACTTTGGGAGTGTTTGAGGCTTTTAAGAACAAATGAGAAATAGAAAACTGGGTAGCTAGCGAGAGATCATTATGTTACCCCATCCCTATCCCAGCACTGCCAAACACAGCTAGAACAATTCAAGCTGATGGGAGCACAGAAATTGCTGTAAGCCAGGCTTTGGTTGAATTTAATGAAAGTTTACCTGGTATAAAGGGAAGTCCAATGCCTTCCTTATTTTCAAATGACATGTCCAAGATGCCCTGTCTCAAATGTAAGTCAACTGTAATTCCAATGAGGCAATCATTTTGCTCTTGAATTTCAGAACTCTAAAGAAACGTTATTTTTATCAGAACAATAGTCTTAAGGATAAGTTACAAAATACATCTTTTGGTTAGGTTAAGTGGCAATTGCATGTTAAAAGAATGGTCTTCTCAGATCCTTCTATTTTCTATGATTTGATCTCCTTTGATCTGTCTCCTCCCATCTGAGTGTCAATGATTTTATATAGTGACAGATGGAAATCAACATTGCACTAGCAGGATCTGAGTCACAAGAATATATCCATTGTCACCCATTGTATTAGTTTCCTAGGGCTGCCAAAAAACAATCTGCCACAAGCTTGGATGGCTTAAAACAACAGGAACTTACTGTCTCATTGTCCTGGGAGCCTGAAGTCTGCAATCAAGTTGTTGGCAGGACTGAGCTCCCTCTGAAGGCTCTGGGAAGGATCTGCTCCCACCCCTTGTCTGAGCTTTGGTGTTGCCAGGAGTCGGCATTCCTCGGCTTGTGGCTGCATCACTCAGACAGCTGATCTGTTATCACATGGCTTTGTCTCTGTGTGTCTTTGTGTCTCTTTTCTTCTTACAAGGACAAGAGTTATATTGTATTAGGGCCCACCCTCATGACCTTATCTTAATTTGATTACTTCTACAAAGATTTTATTCCCAAATGAGGTTATATTCATTGGTACTTAGGGTTAAGACTTGAACATATCTCTTTGGGGAGTAAATTCAACCCATAACATCCATGGCCACCCAACATCCAAAGAAAAAGGATAGTTGGAAGAAGTATGTTACAAGAAGAGTTTACTAATCTATCTGCTGTACATACTTTCGTAACATATATTGTTAAATATCCTGTATCTTATGCTTTGAAGGAAGAAAAACACATTCCATCGAGTGGATGCTTATGATAAACTAGCTAATGAATTAGAGAAAGATAATCATGTTTTATACAAAATTCATATAATATAGAAATCATATGCGTGTATATGTTTTGGGTTTTTACTCCAGCCTCTCATTGCTAAGAAGGCAAATTAAAATTCTTAAGATTCAGAATGCTTAAATGCAGAATGAATGCTTAATGTGACCAAGCCCGTATGTTAAGTAGATAACTCACGGTGATCTCTCTCTTTCATTTACAGGTCTTTTCTCTCTCTTATAATTAACATTTGGATGTACAAAATTATGTTCCATGCTATCATACAATTGAATGTTTCTCAATATAGAGCTTTATCAGACTTTCATGCTGATAAATGCAAGTTTGTCGTGTATACATCTGTTTCTATGAGTTTATGGCTTATGAGTTTGTATTTAAATGTCACATACTTGTTTCTTTCACCCAGAGCACTAGGCATCGAGCATAGTTGGAGGACCACACAACTAATTTATCTATTCATTCAATTAGGAAGCTTTTATTGAGCATCTGCTGCATGTCAAACACTGTGCTAGGCCCTACAGATATTAAGACAATGTTATTTTCCTCAAGAGATTTATACTCTAGTAACTAGTTCTTAATTTTGTTATGTTTTGTTTTGATTACTGACACCTTTGAGAATCTGATTAAAACCATAGGACCTTCTCCCCTTCTGCACTAAGAAAAATGCACACACAGAATTGTGCATGCATTTAAGTAGGTACATGAACTACCCTAACTGTGTGTACGCACACATGTGTGTATGTGGGTTTAGAATATGTGTGTGTGTGTGTGTGTGTGCGCACGCTGGATCAGAGGACAGACCTTTTATTTACTCACAGAACATCATAGCAGCACCAGTACCTCATGCACTAATCTCCCATGGTATGGTACAGTGAGGGCCACATGTGCCTGCATGGGCAGGGCTTTCTCCCCAGGAGAGGACCTCTGGAATTATGAAACTTGGAGCTTACATAGAGTAACTGTCACACTTGTCCCTTCTCCACTCCAGAGAGAGAGAGAGAGAGTCGGGGGTGGAGGGCAGCAAGGCAGGAAGTTTTGTCCGGGAATGTGGAAGAATCTTCTCTGAAGAAAGGAGAGAAAGGTCCCCAGTTTTGTCACCCCTGGGTAAGTGAATGGCTGCAGAGGAGATGAGCCTTTACATGTCACAGGAACAAGTCACTATCTCGAATTCCAAGGCATGTTCACCATTCGGTCATTCTTTAACTTGGGTTGCCAGTAATCCTTACTCAATAAGCCCTAGCTATGCAGAAATGTGAAATATGAAAATATTCATGGAGCACAGCTTCCTTTAGCTACAATAACAGAAAACCTGACCAGCTGAGGTCTGAAACCTGAGAACATTTGCTGTTTAGTTATGAGAAGTCCAGAGGTTGGCAGGTGAGGGCTCTGTTTAGGAGCTAACACTTCTGTGAAGCCCTGGGCTCCTCCTTTCGGCATGTGTTCATCACCCCATGCCCACAGGTGCTGCAGCTCAAGATAACATCTCATCACCCTGGAATCCAAACAGGAAGAAAAGCGTGAGGCCCAAAGCCTCTTGTTCTTTTGAATTTCTCTCTAGGTATCAGGAAGTGATAGACTCCCCAGAAGCCCCCAGCAGTCTTCCCGGTACTTTTCATTGGCCAAGACTAGGTCCTATGAACACTCCTAATACAGTCACTGTACACGGAGAATAGGATTCTTGAGGCAAACTGAGATTAGCCATCAATTCTCTGAGTCAGAGAGTCCCTGCTGCCGAGACATGGAAGGCTCTCAGGCCAGGTCTTGCATCAAATCATCTTCAGGGAAGAAAGAGGTAGAGAACTATTGTGTAGGCAAAGATAGGAGTTGGTCAGCACTTTCATTCTCCTACAACCATTGTTATAACTAATGGGCACTAGCTCTTAAATGATCAGAAAAATAATCTAGTGTAACTCTCCTTCCAGACAGAAATGCACCGACTTAATTATGAGCATAGGGACCACCAGGAAGGGATTTAGTAGGCTTTTTTTGTGTGTGCTAAATGTTCCTAGGGGTTTCTTGTCGATATCGCTGGGACCACTGGTGGGTGAAAGGCAAGGCAGACATGAATGGAGGCTGAGAAGTGGGAGACAAGTTGAGGAATAAAGGGAAAAAATAGCAAACCAAAGTTGGAAAACAATGTCAGAAAAAGAAAAACATACATATTGTGAAGAGTATTGTTTAAATAGTTGTTTTCCTATACAATAAGCACTAGTAAAGATAGAAATCTTCCAAATAAGTGATTCTCTGACTTTTAGGTGTAAACTGTTTTAGTGGTGAATAACTTTTATTTCCAGAAAAGTGTTTTTTTTTAACCTCCAACCATAGTAATGTGTTTCTCTCCTCTTGTTCTGCCTTCTCTTTAGGGAAAGAGCACCTTGGTCATCATTCTCTAGATAAAATAAGCAAAGGCAGTTGCGTTCTGCCTCATGCTCAAGGGGAACGTGCCAAGAATGTGTCGAAACACAAAAATGAGTCCTCAACCCTGATAGGTATAGCAAGCTTTGTACAGCTGGCAGCTCCACGCTGTCAGTCTCCTTGCAGTCCCCACTCCTCACCCCGACCCCATGTCTGCAAGTCCCCTGTCCTTCTGTGTGGATCTTTCAGCTGTCCCCTGCCACCGGCCACTCCACAGGACAACATTAGTTGCAGGTATTTCTTGTCTTTCTGTTTCAAATGCAACCTCTGATGTGGATTTAAAGTTGTCAGTGGAGTTAGTCAGAGGCAGCCTAGAGAAGTGACCCAGGAATGTTCTTTCTTTTTTCACTTTCCCGCCGTAAATTATAGCACCACCTCCTTCCTTTTGGCTGATAAGCAATCAAATTGCCATAAAGGTGATCAACCCTGTGGCATAGTAAAGATCACTGCAAATAATGTGATCCCCCTCCCAATGAGAGGTAGGTTCTACTTCCCTGCCCTGTGAATTTGGGCTGACCTCACCCTGCTTGCACTGAGTTCAGTGGAAAAAGACACTCTGCCAGGCCTAGCTCTTGACATGACTGTCAGCTTCCGTCTTGGCCTTCGTGAAGAGTCCTGGGCTTTCATATGAGAAATCCAGATACATTGAGGCCACCATGTTGTCAGGAAGTCCAAGCTAACCACATGGAGTGTCTGCGTGGAAAGAGATTGTGAAAAGAATAAAAAGTAAGGGGTGGTTTGTAACACAACAATGGGAAAGCAGGTAAAACCCAGTGTCATAACAGAAGCCTTTACTTTCATACTTTTCTTGAGCTTGAATAACATAGCTCCCCTGCCTCTTGTCTGTGTGTATGAAATTCCTACATCTCGCCCCACACTGTGGGTTCCTTTGGAGTATCTTGTTGTCGGTGGTTTGTTGAATGTGAGAGATTACCAGAAAAACTTCCCTCTCAACTTTTTGCCGTATTTGAACACTGACAACGTGTTCTTTGATGTTCTTGTAATACATGGGTGCAAGAATTTGTGCTGTTTTATCTGACACACAATAGAAACAAGTATATAATTATTTTGTCACTACTTTATAGTCACACTATGGAGTCAACAATTACATTGTAGGTTTAGATTTCTCACGGCATTGTTTGTCCTTTTGAATAGCACAAAGGGTACCCACCCAATACAGTCACATTTTCCATTGGATTTTGCTTTCTTGGGGACCCCCCCAACCAGTGTTCATGTAGTTGAAGAACTTGTATTGATCCATGTTCGTTTAGGTATCCCTGCTTCTGCCTATCTGATTTGACTGTTTTTCCTCTCTAGAATGTATAATTTTGTAATCCACTTGTTTCCTTATTTTCTTGTTTCACTTATTTTTTTCTTTTCTTCACTATTATTTTATTACCTATAATTTTCTTGCACATGTAGTTACATTTTCAAATATAAAAAAACCAGTGTTTTTAGTTGTTCAGTTATTCAGTCAACTTGAAATTTCATAACTTCTATGTAAAAATATTTATATATTTTAACTGTGTAAGTGTTATACTAGAAACAACTTAACTGGTGATGTCATAAATCAAATATGTGACCCTGTAATGAGAGGCTCATGTCATGAGATAATAAATTCTAAAGCAGACAGTTTGACTGAATTCTAACAAAAATCTGAGAGAAAATATATTATTGTGTCCTACGGGTGTCTTGATATTGGAAAGAAGTGACATGAATTTGTTGTTCAAAGGGAAGAGGTGTGGCCTGCCACTCTTCTTGAAAGCCATCATTTTCTTTGCCTTTGGGTTTCTTGATGTCTTCTCCCATCTTGCCCACAGCCTCTTCCCCTCTTTCTTTCCTTCCTTCTCTCTTTCCTTGTTTCTCTCATAAGACAGAGCTGGGATGGGGATCTGGGAGGAAGAGGAGACAGGCTGAGGACAGAAAATTGATGAACCAATTTTTGTTGATTTCTACATCTTGAAGAGTGTTAAATTGATTTGTAAATAGATTTGGCATGAAGTCCAGCAGTCAGTTCTTTTTTTGTTTGTTTTTTTGAGACGGAGTCTTGCTCTGTCACCCAGGCTGGAGTGCAGTAGAATGGTCTTGGCTCACTGCAACCTCTGCCTCCAGGGTTCAAGTGATTCTCCTGCCTCAGCCCCTCAAGTAGCTGGGATTACAGGCATGCGCCACCATACCCTGCTGGGTTTTTGTTTTTTGTTTTTTTTTTTTAGTAGAGATGGGGTTTCACTATGTTGGCCAGGCTGGTCTCAAACTCCTGACCTCGTGATCTGCCCACCTCAGCCTCCCAAAGTGCTGGGATTACAGGCATGAGCCACTGCGCCCGGCCTCCAGCAGTCAATTCTATCACCTCCACCTATTTGACCCCTGAGCATCATGACTTGGTGTGTCACTCTCTACTCTCCAAACACTCACCTTCTTCTCTTGGCTACAACTGGATAATTTATAAGCTTTGCCAATGTGGCATCCGAAGCAGAACTCCTCGAGCCCTCTCTCGCTCTTCCCCAGTCTTCCTACTCTCAGTAGAAGGCACCACTGTCCAGCCGGTTCCTCAGGATAAAAGTGGCAGCGCAACCCCTGCCTCCTTTTCCTTTGTCTGCTCCACAGGGCAGCCCACCAGCAAGACCTGCTGGCCTCACCTTCCAGCCCCCAGGTGCCATCACCTCCCACCTGACCGCTGCACTGCTGACCACAGGCCACAGCCAGAGCCTCCTAACTGGGCTCCCTGGATCTTGTTTTGCTCCCCCAGACTATTCCAGAGTTCAGGGTTGGGGATTGGCCAATATTAGCTTGAAACCAGCCTCACCATATATTAGTTTTGTGACACTGGGCAGGTTTATGCACCTTTCCCTGCCTCACTGTCCTCATCCATTAAATGGGGATAATGAAAATATCAATAGCCCTGCCCTCACACTCAAAGCAGCCCGTAAGGACTAAGGAGGTGATCCATGCGAAGCACTCGGAACAGCTCCTGGGATGCAGTTGACATGCGATGTTATTAGTTCATAATGATTGTCGTTATTATTAGTTCGTAATTATTTTCTATACAGTAAGGGGACAGATCACCTTTTAAATATAGAGGATTATGGGAAGATGGCCTGGTTATGTAGGATGTTAACAGCAGCGGACGTGGGGTGCAGCGCATCTGAGGACGCTCTGTGCAGTCGTTACAACTCTTCTGTAAATCTCACATTATTATAATGTAGAATGCCTTCTAAAATATGAAGGCTATGACATCACTACCATGTGCAAGTCCTCCAGTGCCTTCTCCCTACTCTCGGAATTAAACTTCAACCCTTGAGACCATCACGATCTGGCCCCTGGCCAGGAGTCATTTCCTTCAGGTCCTGCGGTGACCTCCTGCCTCTCCCGCCAGCCCTCCTATCCTGGCGGCACCCTGGCCCGCAGACCTGTCTGCTCTGCTTGTGTTCCCTCGTCCTCCTAGTGCTGGTCCTGGCTGTCCCTTGGTCTGCACAAGGGACCTCCCTAGTGAAGACTTTGCTGATGTTCCAGATCCTCCCTCTCCCTCCAACAGTTTCCCTGCTTCATCTTTCTCCATAGCCCTTAGGGTTTTCTCTCTTTAGTTTGTGTACTTAAGTATCATCTAGTGGAGTGTAAATCCCCTGAGCATAGGAACTGTGTCTAATCGTCTGTATTCCTCTTATCTAGACCAGTTCCTGGCATTTGGATTTTGTGCCATATATATTTGTAGAAGGAATATAGGCATAATCAGAACATTAATATCATCAAATGATATTGATATTCTTTCGTCTACTAGCCCCACATTATATAAACAGAAGAGTATATTAAAGAGAATATTAAAACTAATCAAAATTAACAGATGGGCTTAATGCATTGTCTCCTTATATTTTGCTCCTCAGTCTTTAAGGTAGAAATTCGTTTCTGCATATCCAAAATCCTACATTCAACAATCATGAAGCATTACCTCAACCTAGTGTCTGTCAACCCCCTGTATCTATGGGTTCCACAACTGAGGAGTCACCCAACTGCAGATAGAAAATATTTGGAAAAAATGAACATAAAAAATGACACAACGATAAAAATAATACAAATAAAATTGCAATATAACAACTATTTACATAGCATTGACTTTGTATTAGATATACATAATCTAGGGATGATTTTAAGTATATGGGAGGATGTGCATAGGTTATATAGAAATACTACATCATTGTATATCAGAGACTTGAGCAATTGTCACTTTGGCATCCCAAAGGAGTAGTGGAATCAATACTCCTTGGACGCCAAGGGACAACCGTACAGGTAAGGCTTGGATTCTTAAAAAAAAAATGCATATTCAATATCCTGTTAGAAAAGATGAGTTTACCTTGTCTTCTAAAGGGCCGGGTAAAAATGGCATTATTCCTTTCCTTGTTCTCCATTAGAATATCTTATAGTTAGAGAAAACTAACATAGAATAGGCTGTACAGAATTATTGGATATTCAGTTGATTAAGCACATCATTTGACTCCATTCATAACACTATTCAATTAGTTTCAGTAGCAATCAAAAAATAAAGAACTGGCCTTACCTTCGGATATTTGAAACATTGCTTTAGACTGCACTGACTTGATTATGGTCCAGATTGTCTGTGGATGTTGTGGAAACTCAAATTTTCTCAGCTGTAAAAAACAAAAAACAAGGCAAAGCTAAACAAAACAAACAAAAAAACAACATTGAACTATCCAGTAAGTATTCAGAAAACTCTAGCCGGGGAGCCCTCCTGTGGGAGAGGGTGGAGGTGGTTTTCTGTGCTGTAGCTATAGCTGGCTGTGCTGTTCGAGTGTCATTTCCTTCAGGCCCAGTAAGCTTTAAAACAAAGTGGATGCCTCCCCTAGTGATACTGAGTGACTTTTTTTTACCAAAGGAAATGTCTTTTTCTTTGAACTTTCTAATTTTGACGTAATTTTAGACTCATGAGAAAAGGTGCAAGAGAAAGAATTTTTCATACATTCTTCAACTAGATACCCACATGCTGACACTGACCACATTTGTTTCTTCCTGTCTCCATCTGTGTACATATGTGCATATATTTTTTTTCTGAATCCTTTGAGAGTAAGTTGCCAACATGATGGTCCTTTACTTCTGAAGATTGCAGAATATGTTTTCTCAATACCGGAGTAATCTGTTATGTAACCACAGTATAATGATCGAAGTCAGGAAATTAGCATTGATGCCATACTTTACACAAACCTTATTTAAATTTCAAAATTTATCCTCAGTACATACCTAATAGTAAGAAGAAAATCCCAGCTCACATGTTGCATCCAGTTGCCACATCTCTTTAGACCCCTCTTATCTAGACTATTATGTCTAGTCTATTATGACTGTGGAATTTTTTATGAGCGCAGGACAGTTATTTTGTAGACTATCCTTCAATTTGTGTTTGTCTAATGTTTCCTCCTGTTTAGACTCAAGTTATGCAATTTTTTTTTTTTTTTTGAGACAGAGTCTCACTCTGTCGTCACCCAGGCTGGAGTGCAGTGGCATGATCTTGGCCCACCACAACCTCCACCTCCTGGGTTCAAGCAATTCTCCTGTATCAGCCTCCCGAGTAGCTGGGATTACAGGCGTGTGCCACCACATCTGGCTAATTTTTGTATTTTTAGTAAAGATGGGGTTTCACTATGTTGGCCAGACTGGTCATGAACTCCTGACCTCAACTGATCGGCCCGCCTCAGCCTCCCAAAGTTCTGGGATTACAGGCGTGCGCCACCACGCCCAGCTAATTTTTGTATTTTTAGTAGAGATGGGGTTTCACCATGTTGGCTAGGCTGGTCACGAACTCCCGACCTCAACTGATCCACCCACCTCGGCCTCCCAAAGTGCTGGGATTACAGGCGTGATCCACCGTACCCAACCAAGTTATGCATTTTTGGCAAGAGTGTTGGAGGAGGATGTTGTACCCTTCTCAGTAGGCACACAGTGTCAGCTTGTCCCATTACTGGTGGGATGAACTTGGATTACTTGGTCAAAGTGGTGGCCGTCAGGTTTCTCCACTGTGAAGCTAATTTTAGGATATTTATTTAATTAGATGTAAAATATATCCTAAATAAAATTATAATTGCATTTCAGAATTTAATACTCTAGCCCAGGCACAGTGGCTCACGCCTGTAATCTCAGCACTTCAGGAAGCCAAGGTGCGTGGATCATCTGAGGTCAGGAGTTCAAAACGAGCCTGGCCAACATGGTGAAACCCTGTCTCTAGTAAAAATACAAAAAAAAAAAAAATTAGCTGCGCATGATGTCGGGCACCTGTAGTCCCAGCTACTTGTGAGGCTGCTGCAGGAAAATCATTTGAACCAAGGAGGTGGAGGTTGCAGTGAGCTGAGATTGCACCACTACACACCAGCCTGGGTGACAGAGCAAGACCCTGTCTCCAAAAAAAAAAAAAAAAAAGAATTTAATCCTTTTCAATTCATTGTATTTTAAAGGAAATTCAACAAAAAACATGTGCACAGGTAAAGATGATACTGATAATGGCTTATCAGTGTCTGAAAATAAGACAAACATCTCTATGCAATTCCATGAAAGAAGCAAAATCCTTTGGAATTACATACACAAAATAGATGGTTTTTGTGTGCCTTACATGTATTTTCCTCTTTCTTACATGTCGAAACTTTTGAAAACTTTGACCACGAGTTATCTACCTGAAGAGGGAGATCAAATTTAACAAGCTCTTTGAAAGGAAAAAAAAAAAAATCTGTATTTCCTTTCAAACTTCTACCATCGAATACAGATACTCCTCATTTCTTAGAATAGGTTTATTTGATGATGTTTGGTTGAACCTTGTCTGAAGTATAATCTTATTTTTCACCGACTAAATCCTTAGAGTGGAGTGAGGTGAGGGCTTTACGGGAGAAAGGAATTAAAATACGGGCGTCTCAGGTGTGACCCACCCTGTGGTGTGCAGACCTGCAGTGGACCCTGAAGCACAGGCGCTCTCAGCAGCGGGGCGTCTCTGCGCGTCCTCCTTACCCTGGCTTCTGCAGCACTTGCTCCTGCTCAGATCTGCTGGTGTATTTCAGCAGGTTTCTTGACGGCATGCCGTATACTATGTCCTGATGTTGTTGAAATTAGAAGCTTTTGTTTCTAGGAAATATACTATTTCTCATTCTAGTCATTCCTTAAGAAACCAAGAACTAAAACTACATGCTACAAATGGCCTTCTGTTACAAATATTCTCTCTGAATTATGGCTTGGTAAGGCTGCCAGATAAACTAGAGGATACCGGTTACATTTGCATTTCAGGTTAACAAAAATATCTGGGTCAGGCTTAGGCTAAAAAAAAAGGACTTGGTACTTTACTGAAACTCAAATTTAACTGGGTGTCCTGTATTTTTATTTGCTAAATCTGGCAGTCCTAGGCTTGTGCCAAAATTAAGTTCTGTCCTTCTCTCAAGAGCCACTTTGGGTTTATTTTCTAGAGATGATGGTGTCCTCTCAAAAACCACTTTGGGTGTATTTTCTAGGGATTGTGGTGCCCTCTTTGTTCTGATTGCTGGGAAACTCAGAACCAAGTTGGTGGCTCACATGGATCAGTATCATGGGGCTTTACGGTATGCACCGAGAGGTCCAGCCCCACCTCCCAGTTTGCCCTTACTTTTATTGCCATCACTTTCCCTTTTCCAGTCTTCCCTTCATTAAAAAAAGCAAGAGCAACACCAGCAAACCAACTTGTTTGTTGCAAATATCCTTAAATTGCTTCATAGCCTTTTACTGAATGAGGCACAGAATGAGTTAGAATAACACATTGATTATTGATACCCATAGAGTAAATTTTTTTTTTTTGGCGAGGGGACAGAGTTTCGCTCTTGTTGCCCAGGCTGGAATGCAGTGGCGCCTCTTCGGCTCACCACAACCTGCCTCCTCCTGAGGCAATTCTCCTGCCTCAGCCTCCCAGGTAGCTGGGATTATAGGCATGAGCCACCACGCCTGGCTGATTTTTGCATTTTTAGTAGAGACGGGGTTTTGCCATGTTAGCCAGGCTGGTCTCGAACTCCTGACCTTGTGATCCACCCGACTCGGCCTCCCAAAGTGCTGGGATTACAGGCATGAGCCACCGCGCCCAGCCCCCCATAGAGTAAATTTTTAATCCTAATAATTAACGCTCTATTGACATGGTCTTATTAATGCTTATAGAATATTTCTGTAGCAGTCCCAAGAGCTAAAATTTTACTCTGAATTTTGAATCAGAAATCCCAAGTTCAGACAGCAATATATGCTTCTAAAAACATTACTGGTTTTACCAGTCTTTAATTCTCAACAGAGACTAAAATGAAGAGATTTTACATCTTAAGAGGTGATGTTACTAGAATCCAATGCTCAGAATATATTAGATACAGTGAGTTTTATGTGTTCAAAACACCTTTAAAAAAACAAGAATGAGAGGAATAAAAGCCTACACATTGGGTTCGGTGTATATTGCTTGGGTGATGGGTGCACCAAAATCCCACATATCACCACTAAAGAACTTACTCGTGTAACCAGATACTACCTGTTTCCCAAAAACTTATAGAAATAAAAGTTTTTTTTTAAAAAAAAAGCAGGAATGAAACTCATCTTTAAATAGCCTTCATTTTACCATAAGAATGATCAAACTTATTTCATCATTCTTAACCTCAGGATAGCATTAAAGTATTTGGCAGATGAATTTTATCTGAAACAGGCTTTGCTTTATTTATAGTTGGAAAAGAAAAAAATCTTGATTTTTTGTTTCTGAAAAGATCTCTGTTACACAGACATATAATGATGCCCTTATTTTTAAGTTAATTACTAGCATCCTTAATCCCTCTTAAAATTTTGTAAACTATACTGGAAATTTAGGAATTGATCTATTGTATTTTCATTGCGTCTTCTTTATAGCTTTTAAACACAAGCTGCTAAACATCAATAATAAAGAATCGCTCTCCTTTTTGGCCTACACTGCTGTGAGTAGACAGCAGAGATACCTCTTGCTTGTCTTCCATCTAAATTACATGAGAATGGGATTTATGCAGGCTATAAATCTAGTCAGAATAAAGCCTTTAAGTGGTAACCAATTTTGTGGTGTGTAAGTATCATTGATTTGTTAATCTGAGAGTGTTTTTATAAACTGATTTGGATTAGTGAGTTCTGATAGCAGAGCTATTTTAAGGCCCCTCAATAGCGGTAAGTGTAGTGAAAACAAGGCAGTGAAAATTAACCCATTGACCCCACCTATAAATTTAAATCACAGCCTTTGAAAGGAGAGAGCAGTCTCATTATATGTAGCTTGCTAGTGTCTAGACCATACTAGCCACAGAGACCATTTCTTCATAATTGGTTGTTGTTGCTCTGGATTCAGAATCAGTCCCTTGGCACTTTGCAGAATGGCCAACTGTTGTAATTCTTCAGGAACTTTTTGTATAAAGCACTATTAAGATGAACTTAGATGTAAATTGGGGAGTTATATTTCTCTGTTATAAAACATAATGAGGAAGATGGCTTCCGTTCTTTAATATCTCATAGCTAGTGAATACTAGAACCATACTATTTCAACAGAAAGAATGCAAGGATATTCTACCCATGGACACATGAAAGAGAATTTTTTTTTCAGTGGAAATAGCAGTAGGAAGAACAAAAATCAAAGACAGATTTTAGTCTTGAGTTTTAATATTGATTGATTGATTCGTTTCACAAAATCTCATTTAGAAACGGAGCTTAAGGTGTTGGCACAGAATAAGCGCTTGCATCATGAGGACTGGGGTAATTTCATTTCTACACCAGGGTAGCTGGAGTAAACGTGAGCAAGAACGTGGAACTCAGTGGAGAAAACCAAAACTCAAGTCCCACTGACCTGAATTTTGCTATGGCAATATAGTGACAAAACCAAAGGTGCAGGTTGAGCACAGTAGCTCACACCTGTAATCCCAGTGCTGTGGGAGGCTGAGGTGGGAGGATCACTTGAAGCCAGGAGTTCTAGATCAGCTTAGGCAACGTAGCAAAATCCTGTCTCTATATAAAAAATTTAAAACTTAGCTAGGCATGGTGGCAGATACCTGCAGTCCTAGCTACTCTGGAGGCTGAAGCTGGAGGGAGGATTGCTCCCAGGAGCTGAGGAGTTTGAGGCTGCAGTGAGCTATGATCTCAACAGTGGGTGACAGAGTGACACCCTAACTGTTCTTTTTTTTAAAAAAAGAAGCGATTGAGGCACAGAATTGCATGTTTGGAAAAACAATTAAAGAAATTCTTCCTTACAAATTTACCCTTATGGAG